>NC_000015.10:22531968-22705694 GCF_000001405.40 Homo sapiens | reverse complement strand
TCACATTCAAAATTCTCCAAACATGAGAGCAGCTGAATGTGCTTTAAGACAGTATACCTAATGATACATCTCTATTTTCCCCTTCCTCTTACAATCATTTACACAGATATATGAGAGGTAAATATGTGTTTAGAAAGTATTAGTCATCATAGATGTACCTCCAGTCATCTATTCAACTGTAATCATGGTAAAATATGCACTTGTACAACTTTATACTATCAATGAGTATAGGTAGGTGAAAATTAGTGTTGCCAGAAAAAATCCAAACCAGAAAACTGAAAGTATAGAAAAATTATACGTTATGTCATTGATAAACCATTTAAAAATAATGTCACGTATAGAATAAAAAATTCCGTGAATATATACATGCAAATTATACATATATGTGAATTTAATTTTATTGAAAGGTAATTGGCATCTGCAATTTCATGCAGTCTAAGTGAAACCCATAAAGAAATGTGTATGAAATAGGAAAGCAACAAAAGCTCATAACATTTTAAAATTAGAAATCAGATTCAAAACCAATCATGATCTATTTTAAATTTCTCCCTATAACATTTCAATTGAGACATAAAACACACTTTATACAACATGCCTCACTATTTTATTTACAGCATGACTTCCCTTTCCCCAATCCCCAAACCATGTTCCCATCTACACCGCACCCCACCCAACTCTCACCTCTTCCATTAGCATTATTACAAACATATTTTACAAATCTTATATCAAGCTTTTCCACTCTGTCTCTTTTAAATGTAGAAATATCTTATATATAAACCCGAATACCACAAATCTTCACATTTATATTTTCTAAAGCAGTTAAATCGTTATAGACAATTCTACCTAAAAAGCAAAATGCGCTTGACAATATGTCATGTTATGTTAAGTTGACCAGACACAGAAGTCATTTCTGTCGGATTTCTTGTCGATGTTTGCATTAAGTTGGAGCTTTCTGATCTCGGCTCCTGTTGTGCCAGTAATTTGAAAGGTCACCTCTCTGTTGGCCTTTGGCTTATGCAATGCAGTCTGTCAATTAAAAGTCTCAGCCGGGCGCGGTGGCTCACGCCTGTAATCCCAGCACTTTGGGAGGCCGAGGCGGCCGGATCACGAGGTCAGGAGATGGAGACCATCCTGGCTAACACGGTGAAACCCAGTCTCTACTAAAAATACAAAAATTAGCCGGGTGTGGCAGGCGCCTGTAGTCCCAGCTACTCGCGAGGCTGAGGCAGGAGAATGGCGTGAACCCGGGAGGCGGAGCTTGCAGTGAGCTGAGATCGCACCATTGCACTCCGGCCTGGGATACTGAGTGAGACTCCGTCTCAAAAAAAAAGAAAAAAAAAAAAGTCTTGTAAATTTGTACATAGAATATTGAAGTTAGAAGAGGCTTTTCACTCTCTGGGCTCTAATACTGCCCAGAGGTTGTTTCTTGTTCCCATAAGAAAATCCTGTATGTCTCTCCATTACCATTCCTGATCCTTACCTCCAATTCAAAATGTGGCCAGTTCCACCTTCTAAGCCTTTATACCAAATTGACTGGGTAGGTTTATTATGAATCTGTGTCCTTGTCCAAACTCTACATTAGACCTCCCAGGAGAGTTCAAACTAAAAACTAATGAGTAAGTGCAATATTACAATTGAAACGGGAGCAAACATAATTTCAAGTAGGACTCATAAAAACTGTGGGACCAAAAGAGGAAAAGTGCACGCCGAATGTTCTCAGTTCTGAAATGGCTCTTGTGAAATATCTATGTGAAAACACTTCAAGGACCTAAAAAAAAAAATGGTGAAAAAGCGAACAATCTTCCTTGCAAAACAACTCCAGAGTTAATGCCAGAGCTTTCTATCAAAACATCCATGCTAAATTCACCGGAAAGATTCAGAAGATCAATGACAGGAGTAAGGGAAAAACAAGGACATTTTGTGAGTGGAACATATAATGACCCTGTAGCAGGAGACCCAGAGAGGGGGAAAAAAGAAACGGAGGGTGTAAGTAAATTAATTGCCTGTAACATGTTTAATGAAATAAGTAGACGTGTGATGCAAACTTCTTAATAGTCAAACATTATGCAACATATGATGCATAAGAATTGTACTATCTCAAATTTTTTTAATGTGAGATTTTCTTGATGCCACTTTCATTTACCTACACACACACAAATGGCACAAATCACATATACATATACTGACACGAAAATACATATGTGGGAGGGAGAGAAAGAGGGAGGAAAACGTTAATCATGATACATTGCCAGTGTAAGAACTCCCTTTTGGCCGGGCGCGGTGGCTCACACCTGTAATCCCAGCACGTTGGGAGGCGGAGGAGGGCGGATCACGAGGTCAGGAGATGGAGACCATCCTGGCTAACACGGTGAAACCCAGTCTCTACTAAAAATACAAAAAAAATTAGCCGGGCGTGGTGGCGGGCGCCGGTAGTCCCAGCTACTCGGGAGGCTGAGGCAGGAGAATGGCATGGACCCGGGAGGTGGAGTTTGCGGTGAGCCGAGATCGCGCCACTGCACTCCAGCCTGGGCGACAGAGCGAGACTCCGTCCCCCTCAAAAAAGAAAAAAAAAGAACTCCCTTTTTAGAAAGATCTTTTATTCAACTTACCAAAATTTTAATTGCCAATGACACAGAAACCAGCACAAATAAGAACTTGTAACTTACCCAGGTACAAGTGAATTTCTATGACTGAAATTCAGGGGCATTCTAAGCAAGAATAGTTCAATAGAAACTAATCTCATTATTTTTCATTTTTATGAAGTCATATTTATTATTCGTAGTGTGGTTTCTCATCAAGGAGTTATTTAACATGCCAAATGCCTGCACCTCTTTAACTAGGTCTTTATGCATAGGGAATGTTTAAATATCCACAAAAGTAATACATACTAACCAATTTTTTAGATTTTAACATATATATTTGAAGATACGTTTTCCCCAAATGTACAGTTCTTTGTGGCCTGGATTGCCTCAGGAAACTGCCTCTGCCTTTTGTGGGTATTATGGCAAGCAAGGGCACTGGTAATTTACTGCTGAGAAAATGCCTAGCCGTTTGCCTGATTATGCCACGTCATCTTCCTGACACTACAGAGCACGGTAACCTCATTTCCAAAATCAAAGAACAAATCTGAACGGCTACTGTTCCTGAGGCAAACAAGTGAATAAATTCCAAAACATGCCATGGACTAATTGAAGATGAATTTCAGACAATTCTTTTTTTTTTTTTTTTAGATGGAGTCTCGCACTGTCGCCCAGGCGGGAGTGCAGTGGCGCGATCTCCGCTCACTGCAAGCTCCGCCTCCCGGGTTCACGCCATTCTTCTGCCTCAGCCTTCCGAGTGGCTGGGGCTACAGGCACCCACCACCACTCCCGGCTAATTTTTTCGTATTTTTAGTAGAGACGGGGTTTCACCATGTTAGCCAGGATGGTCTCGATCTCCTAACATTGTGATCTGCCCTCCTCAGCCTCCCAAAGTGCTGGGAGTACAGGCGTGAGGCCCTGCGCCCGGCTGGATTTTAGACAATTCTATGTCGTCTGTTGAATCTATCATCTGTTGAATCAGCTTTCTAGTAACCACACACTATAGAAGTGAAACCAACCTGTACTACCAAGAGTGTATTAATTTTGCATGCATTTCCTAGTAAACAATGTAGACAGTATTAATTTTTATGTTGCCAAGGTCATAGTTTTGTCCCTCAAGTCATCTGCTAAATTTTGCCTCACCTGGCTCAGTCAGAAGGAACAGAATTGACAATATTAACTGGTCTCAGTTATCTCCACTGACATAAAAAAAAACGTGTATTTTCCACACGGACTGTGGGAATCAGCATTTTCTGTTATTAACTTAGATTTTTTTCTTGCCATTTCTCTTTATGATCCCAATGTATTGATGTATTTCTAACACTACAACAAGATTTGTGTCACTCAACTGTATGTGTTGTAATCATTATCTTTTAACCATTTATCTCCATGAAACTGATGTCATTGAAAGATAGAAAAGAGAAACAAAAAGCATAGAAGGGAGAGAGGGAGGGAGCAAGACTTTAGTCATGATACAATGCCAATGTAAGGGCTCCTTTTAAGAAAGATTTTAAAAAATTTCTTCTTCAAAATTTCCATTGCCTCCTTGAATGAACTGTGAAGGATTGCAAATTCCTTTAAAACTTGGTTTTGGCAATGACTCTGGATTTCCTTCATTAGCCAGCTATGCAGAATTCATTTTCCAATGCTCTATTAAAAATAAAAGGCCGGGCATGGTGGCTCTCGCTTGTAATCCCAGCACTTTGGGAGGCTGAGGCGGGCGGATCACAAGGTCAGGAGATCGAGACCATCCTGGCTAACACTGTAAAACCCCGTCTCTACTAAAAATACAAAAAATTAGCCGGGCGTGGTGGTGGGCGCCTGTAGCCCCAGCTACTCTGGAGGCTGAGACAGGAGAAAGGCGTGAACCCAGGAGGCGGAGCTTGCAGTGAGTCGAGATCACGCCACTGCACTCCAGCCTGGGTGACAGAGCGAGACTCCATCTCAAAAAAAAAAAGAAAAGAAAAAGAAAGAAAGAAAATAAAATAAAAATAAAAAAGGGAAGATTCCCTTAATGTTTCCCAGTCTATTAAAGGTTTCCTTCCAAAAGGAGCTCATTCTGATCCCATTTAGTACTACACCCTCGTGTATGCCAGATGGCACAGGCATCATAGCTTCACAAATGTCATTCTGATTCTCACCTTTAAAATGAAATTCCCTTAGTCTACCTTTCTTTACATAAACTACAAAATTGTAGACAAAGATATGCCAAATTAAAAGCCTCTTTTGCTAAACATTCTAGAAATAATTTGAGAAAAATGGGCACAATTTGAGACCTTAGTTGTCTTGGAAAGGGGGTAGGTGGGTATTTGACTATGATTCTGGTCGCTATTTCTCCTGATAACTATTTAAATGTGTGACCTTAAAAGAAAATCATTCAGTCTTGTTGAGACTAATGTCTCATCCAAAAAAAGTACTTAAAATTTCTCCTATGTGTCTTATAGCGCAAAAATGTTCAATTCTGTTTCAAGCCATTCTAACATTTGGTTTATAAACAGGTATTACATCATCAAGGCTTACTGCAGGCCTCTGCGATCTTTATTTCAATTTCATTCCTTTTTAGGCTAGATGTAATTTTGGGATTTTAAAAATGGAATTATATGTTGTTATGGGTTGAACTGTGTTTTTCCCGAAAATATATGCTAATGCCCTAACCCCCAATACTTTAGAATGTGACCTTATATAGAAACAGAGTCTTTACAGAGGTTGTCTAGTTAAAATGGGGTCATTAGGGTGGGTACTAATCCAATATTACTAGTGTTCTTATAAAAAGGGGAAAATTGAACACAAGGGGAACATGCACAGAGGGAAGACTATATGCAGACACTATATGGAAGACTGGGCTGACACATCTGTAAACTCAGAAACACCAGTGATTTCCAACAAACCACCAGATCCTGGGAGAGATGCAAGAGACACAGACAGCCTCCCTCATATCCTTCTGGAGGAAACTACCTTGACTACATCTTGTTTTCAGACTTCTAGCTTCCCAAACCGTGACACAATAAATGTGAGTTGTTTTAAGCCACCCGGTTTGTGGTACCTTGGAGAGCAGCTCCTACAAATGAATACATTGTTATAGACTAAAAAGTGCATCAATCATAAGTGTACAATTTTTATAATCTTTCAATATGGACTCAGTCATGTGACCACCATAAACAAGAGCACCTCAGAAGCCTCTTTCATGCCTCATTGATTTTCTTCTACCGAATAGAACACTTTTCTGACTTCCTCTACAATAGATTCATTTTTCCTGAGGAAATTTCTATGAATGCAGGCATATTTGTGACACCACAGATGTAGCAGCAGTTCTTTAATTGCTGTATTTTATTCCACTCTATCAATGATCCATAAAATATTTTTACATTCTGCTGTTGGTGGACAATTGAACTGTTTTGAGTGTCTGCATATAAAAATAATATTATAATGAAAGTCTTTTGGTGTAAAAAATTCCCAGTCTTATCTGTTGGGTATATACTTAAATGTAGAATGGTTGGGTCATAGATAGGTATCTGTAAAACCAAACTGTGTTTTATTAATCTACTCATTTTTCTTTTAAATATTAATGTATAATTTACACATAACAGAGTGTACAGATCTTAAGTATACACCTCATTGAATTTTCACATAGCTTCATACATGGAACAACTCAGATAAAAAATATCTTACAGGCCGGGCGCGGTGGCTCATGCCTGTAATTCCAGCACTTTGGGAGGCCGAGGCGGGTGGATCACCTGAGTTTAGGAGTTCAAGAGCAGCCTGGCCAGCCTGATGAAACCCCGTCTCTACTAAAAATGCAAAAATTAGCTGGGTGTGGTGGCAGGCACCTGTAATCCCAGCTACTCGGGAGGCTGAGATAGAAGAATTGCTTGAACCCAGGAGACGGAGGTTGCAGTGAACCCAGATTGTGCCACTGCACTCCAGCCTGGGTGACAAGAGAGAGACTCCACCTCCAAAAAAAAAAAAAAATCTTACAAATACCCCATAAACCTTCTTCTTGCCATCTCAGTCAACTACAACCCAAAAAAAGATAACTCCTATACTGACCTCTATTTATATAGATTCATTCCATTAATGAATTAATGTTAATAGGCTGTTAATGAGCTTCATAAAAATAGTATCATGCAGTATATATGCTCCTGCATATGGCTGATTTTATTCAATATTAGGTTTTCAAAATTTATGAGATTCTTGTATATACCTATAGTTCATACTTTATAATTTTAATAGGGGTATTCCATTTTATGAATATATAACTGTGCTATTGGATGATTCATCTGTTTCTAATTTTGGGCTACTATAAATAATGCTAATTGAATATGTTATATATATCTTTTGTTAGACTGAAGTACTCATTGATCTTGAGTATATATACCCAGGAGTGGAATTGCTGGGTCAAAGGGTATGCAAACATTTAACTTCAGTAGATCTCGCCAAAAGAATTTTCAAGATGGTTGTTCAGATTCACATTCACACAACAGTCTATAAGAGTGGTAGTTATTCCACATCTTCTGAAACAATCTTCTGAAACAATCTTCTGTATTAAAATTCTGGATTTAATCTTTAAAATTCTGGATTTAATATTTTTATATTTGTACTATCTTTTTTTATTCTTATTTCCTTTTTTGGCTTTTTTTTTTTAATCGCTCTGTTGCCCCTGCTGGAGTGCAGTGGTGCCATCTCAGCTCACTGCAGCCTCCGCCTCTTGGGTTCAAGTGATTCTCCTGCCTCAGCCTCCTGAGTAGCTGAGATTACAGGCATGCGCCACCACGCCTGGCTAATTTTTGTATTTTTTAGTAGAGATGGGGTTTCACCATGTTGGTCAGGCTGGTCTGGAACTCCTGACCTTGTGATCCACCCGCCTCGGACTCCCAAAGTGCTGGGATTACAGGCAGGAGCCACTTCGCCCGGCCTTTTTTCCATTTTTAGAATAATTATTTATTTTTCATTTTATTAAAATACTTGTAATTCCTTTTTAGTACTTTTAGTTATCCTACAGAATATTTATTCTAGACTATTGTGGACTACCTTAAGTACCTTAGTTATCCTAGAGGATATAATATTTATTCTCAACTATTGTGGACTACTATTTCTGAAGTATGTTCGTACTTTTTCCACTTCTCCAACAATGTAAGGACCTTAGAGCAGTTGAACACTATTTAGCTACTCCCACTCTTTGTCATATATTTTATTCAACATTTAAACTTTGTAAAAGACAAGTTAATTATATTTATCCTTACTTCTCAGGTTTATTTTCATGGTGAATATTCTTTATAAATTACTTTTCTTTAATATCTTTCGGATTTTTGTGTCAATGATTACTGGCTTCCCACAAAAAAATTAAAGTGTTCTTTCTTTTGTATTATTTCCTGAAAATGCTTGTGTAAGACTAGTTCAATTAGTTCCTTAAGTTTTGGTAAGGATTCACCAGGTAATCCACATGTGGTTGGAATTGTGTGTGTGTGTGTGTGTGTGTGTGTGTAAAATGTGTTAATCATAAATATAGTTTCTATAATACATACAGAACTTACTCAGATCTTTAGAACTTCTTGTGCCAATATTTTAAGGCTTTTATTTCAGTTAATTTCATTGCTTCCTCTAATTGTATGCTTCTCTCTGGGATAATTTTTTCTTAGTCTGAAGAACTTTCCTTAGTATTTCTGTAGTTCAGTTCTCCTAGGCAAACATTCTCTCAACAATTACTTGTCTGAATATATTTTACTGCGCTTCACTTTTATGTGTTTTTTCACTGGTTATTAAATTTTAGACTGGCAAATTTGCCCCTCAGCATGTTAAAATGCCATTTCATTGTCTCCAGCTTCTATTGTTTTTGTTGGAATACTTATTTGTGCTCTTTTACTTACTTTTGAGAGTTTTGTTTTGGTTCAGCAGCTTATAATCTGGATAGGTAAAGTTTTATTTGTATTATATTCCTTAGGTTTTGTTAAGTTTCTTGCAAGTAGGTTGATATTCTTTATCAATTTTACAAAATTTTTGACCAACGGCTCTTCCGATATTGCTGCTTCTCCATTCTCTCTCACTTGTCTTTATGTCCAGTTTAGTTATAGTAGATGTTGTGACAGTGCCTTATGTCTTTTTTGTTCTGCTTTATTAAATCTCTTCAGTTGAGATTATTTCTATAGATCAATTTATATTATTTCTATGAATCTCTTTTCAGGTTAACTTGTTTTACTACATTTATTCTAAAGCAAACCTATTCAGTGACATAAGTTCAATTATTATGTTTCTGTTTTAGAATATCTGTGTGACTTTTTACAGATATTTAAATCTTCGCTGCACTCTCCATCATTTCATCCAGTTTGCCTACTTTTATTATATTAGCAACGGTCATTCTAAATTTGTCTGCTAAATTCTGAACTGTGAATCAGTGAGCTGTGCTTATTGTGCACATGTGTTTTGATTAATACAATTTTTGCCACTTCACATATCTAGACGTTTTTTGTATCATGCTGGACATTGTGTATAAAAGAATAATAAAGTATTCTGATAATAGTAGTTTTAGAATGTATTCCCACTTTTCTCTATTAAGCAGATAGTGTTGGGAGAAAGTCATTACCAATACAATCAGATATTGGAGCAGTCAGGATTCAGTTTTAGTTTCAGTAAGACTGGCATCTTTGGCTTATCTCTGTTTCTGAAGTTTGTTCCTTTTGAGCTTTTGATTGAGAGCTGGTTGGAACTACTTCTCATTAGTCTCAAAAAATGTTGTTGGAGATTAAATTTTAATTTCAGGGGTATTGGGCTTAGCTCTTTAGCATTTCACCCTATTCAGCTTCAAAATCTTAGAAATGTGTTGAACAAGGGAGTTGGCCATGCTTTTGGGGCAGGCTCTCTTCTTTGCAATGAGTTTGTCTCCCAGTTGCTGTGATACTCTTGAAGATTTTATTCTGTCTCTTGAAATCTTCTGGAATAACTCCTCATTCTTGCATATATCACAATAATTCAGTCAATATGCCTCAGGGAAAATATCTTTTGTGTGCCACTGCTTATTTTACCCCTAATCCATATCTGGGCCAGGCCCAATCCTCAGCCTTCACCCATAATTATAAAAGACACTCAGAGAAACAGTCAGTTCACATTGGAAGGTTCATTAATCTATACATTTTTGTGGACCTATTTTGACCTATGCAACTTTCTTGTCATTCACTTTAAGTGCTTTATGCCTAATCAAATGGCCTTTCTTCAATATTTTTCCCAAAGCATCTCAATATTTATAAAATTATACATCTCATGAAGTTTTTAAAGGACTAAAGAGATCTTTCAAACGTACATATAGAATAAAAAGTCATGTTATCTTTGTTTGCATGCTCATCTTGGGAAGGAATGTACTACTCAAGATTTCTTTTTTTTTTTTTTTTTTTTTGAGATGGGGTCTCACTCTGTCACCAGGCTGGAGTGCAGTGGCGCGATCTCAGCTCACTGCAACCTCTGCCTCCTGGGTTCAAGAGATTCACCTGCCTCAGCCTCTTGAGTAGCTGGGATTACAGGCACATGCCACCACGCCCAACTATTTTTGTATTTTTAGTAGAGATGGGGTTTCACCATGTTGGCCAGGAAGGTCTGGATCTCCTGACCTCGTGATCTGCCTGCCTCGGCCTCCCAAAGTGATTGGATTACAGGCATGAGCCACGGCGCCAGGATTACTTAGATTAAAAGCATGCTGGAATTGGTTCAACAAGGATTTAAGATGGCTGTTCTAAACAGGTTTTGCTAATGATATTCCGAGTCCTCTGACACAGTAATGAAAGTAAAAAGTTCTTGTTAGTATAATAATCATTCTGAGCTATTAGTAATATATATTATTGAGAAGCTACCCTACGGGTATTTAGAAACCCTGGACAAGGGAGAGGCAGTAGATTTCAACCAACATATTCTGAGGAAGCAGCTTAAAATGTGACAGCATATCTTGTGTTTAGGTCAATTGGTCTAAGGTAACTCAAATGTATAAATCATAAAGCTTTAGAGATGTTCTTGGAGAGAAATGTGTAATAACATAGGTGTCAGGAAAACTACTATGGACCACTCTGTATAAAAGGTGCTGGGAGAGTAATTTACTTTGGCCCATAAGGTTCAGGTTAACAGAGGGAGGAACAGCAAACAAATCCTGAGAACCATATAGGAGTGAATGACAGACAGGGATACCAGCATCTATTATCAAAGGACCCAGAGGAAACGGGGAAGAATAGAGAAGAGCTGAGTAAGTCAGTGTTCAGTAGGTTTTAAAAGAAGGTAACTATCAAAGGAGAGGAATATTGATCTCAGAAACATCCTTTCACCTGGAGAGTAAAGATGGCATCAGAAGGAGCACAGGCAAATGAAAACCTTGGTCCCTCCAGCATTGTCTTATTTCTTTCTTCACAAAGTAAAATTTTGTTGAAGACTCAAATTAGCCCAATAATTTCCTGGCCTGGTGTACATTGTGAAAGATAATATTTCACAGTGTTCTATGGGTGTATTTGTGCTTTTTTCTTTAAAAATACAAAAAAACAGTTTTTAATTTCCACATGAATAATTCATTATCATTATAAAATTTTAGCCAATATAGAAAACTTTGTGATTAAATAAAAACTTTATACATTTCAATGTTAAACATCCCTCATAGGGCTTTTATCCCTGTTTACTCACAATTTGTTCATGTCCCTGCACCAGGCATGTGCCCTTAGACAGTTGAAACCTACTTAGATGTATCTGCTATTCTAGACCTATATCTGGTGTTTGGATGCTTAGTTCGGCTCTTCTAATTCAAGGAATATTAATCTTTAATGCATTGAATCCTGAGTACCATTATGTATGTTTCTGCTTCTTGAACCCTGTTTAAGAGACCCCTATTTAGTTCTATCAGGAGAGAATTTAAACAACAAAAGGAACCTGGTGATGTTTTTAAATAATTGATTTTTTTAAACCCCATATAAGTTCAATTCATATTTTAAAAGTTAATATTCTAATTTATACGTTAAGTACCAGTATCTTTTGATACATATATACAAGAGGCAGCATGAAAACCAGTGTTTACTTTTGGTGCAAACTGGCTTCCTTTTAGGGCTGCTCTCACCTGCTTTCACTCATGCTTTCATCCAAGTGTTCAGTATCATACTGTTTTTTAGCTGTTCCCTCCAGCTTTCCTAGAAGTATGCAATCACCCCCCCCTTCCATTATAATTCTTTCTCAATCAATACTACTTTTCCTTCTGAGTAACTTATCCTTTCTAACCATTAGGAAAAAATTATGGCCAGTTGATTAAACCACTTAAGAGTTGAGTGGAAAGACTTATTTCTCCAAAATTGCACTTAAATATTAACGGAGGAGACTGTCAATTCAGAGCCATCTAAGCACCACGATGGCCTCCTCTTCTATATTGTACCCTGCATTTAAACAGTTTTCATCACATACACACAAATGCACACAGATGCATACCCACATGCACACTCCAACTTTTCCTTTCCATTTCTATTGTTAGTATACTACTTGTTTAAGGCAGTAACACCCCATATGTTTTAATGAGTTTTTTTTCTTTCTCTCTACTCAAATCCATTTTATGATGTAGACCAGGGATTGAGAAG
This sequence comes from Homo sapiens, assembly GCF_000001405.40. Taxonomy (NCBI): domain Eukaryota; kingdom Metazoa; phylum Chordata; class Mammalia; order Primates; family Hominidae; genus Homo; species Homo sapiens. The sequence continues at coordinate 22,693,534 of NC_000015.10, read as the reverse complement.
CGTTTCCTGTCCAGGGACAGATAGTAAATATTTTTGACTTTGCAGGTGGCACAGTCTCTGTCAAAGCCATAGACATTACGTAATGAATGAGGACGGCTATATTCCAATGAAACTTTGTTTACATGAATGAGCTGCAGACTAGATTTGGCCCATCGGCAGTAGTTTGTTGAGCCTGGATCTACATAAATCTTACTGATTGCAGATTTTCTCACATTACTTATTACTTAAAAATAAAATCAATCATCTCATTTCTTCAACAAACTTAAATAATTTGTCCTAAGTGCAAGACATCTATTTACTTGTCCTGTGATTTCACTACAGAATAAGATGTTAAATTTAGGCTGACATTGAGACACATTTTCCCGTTGTCTTTTTCATATGCTTGCAATCTAGTGAAAATAAACTATTGACTTCTTTATATGTCTAATGAAATATTTTGCTTCCTTTCTAATGCTAATCTCTGTATGTTACTATCCAAAGTCCAACTCACATATACCTTTCCTCAAATGCTAATTGGATGAATTTCTCCATTAGGAAAAATTTCACAACATTCTACTTTGCACTATACCATTTTGAGGGCGTCACCATTTTGAGGGTTCATCTCAGTGTCTAGTACAGATAACATAATGTCTTACACATCACAGTTGCTCGGAAAGTAATTGTTAATGCTTAAATAAAACAACTCTGCCAGTGGTTTTCCTACTGACTTGAACTAAAAATCTTGTTCATTTACCACTTCTCCCTCTCCTTTTCTCTCTTTCCCCCTCCCTTTCTCTCTCCCATCTCTCTATCCTCCTCTCACCCCTATTATTGGTAGGTCCTATAAAATCTTACCTTATAGAATCTCACATTCTTTTACATCATTCACACTGCTACCATCCAAATTCAGATCTTTCATACCTCTTCATTGGACTATTAAAATAGTCGAATTCCTTTCTGTCATTATCTCCATGCCAAACCATCTTTATTATTTATCTATTTATATGTAACATATCACCCCCAAACTTAGCATTTTAAAATACACATTATTTCAATTTTTGTTGGTGGGAATCCACATGTGGATTAGCTGTGGCCTCTGACTCTCACTCTTTTAAAAGTCTGCAGTCATCTTAAGGCTGGACAGGGAATGATTTATTTGCAGACTCACTCACATAGTTGTTGGCTTTAGTTTTGTGCCAGGTGTTGTGCTGTAAACTCCCTTGGTTCCTTGTCACGTGGGTCTCTCCACAAAGCATCACACAACATGGCAACTCTCTTTATCAAAGCAAGCAAGCGAGAGGGCAAGAGGAAATGCCAGCAAGAGTTGGGGGTGGCTAGCAAGGGGCAAGACATAGTTCCTTGTTAGCTAACCAAGGAAGTAACACCGCATTACTTTTGTTGAATTCTGTTTCTTAGCAGCAAGGCACCAGGTCCAGCTCATACTCAAGAAGGGGAGATAATACAAGATATCGGGAGGTGGAATCAGAAACATGGGAGCTGTGTCAGAAGCCACCCATCCCACCACTCCAGATAGTTATCACTTTCTTCTATTATGTTATTTTTTTCCCCTTAAAATACTTAAATGACCTAGAGTAGTGGTCTCTACAGTTTTTTTTTTATCCTGCTCTTCACTCCCAGAGTATATTAGTTGATGCAGCAGTTTGTCTCTCTTCATTATCACCAAACTCACACACAATTCATGCATGTGGTAGAGATGCTCTGTGTATGCATAAGTCTGACTCTTCAGAATCCCTGTTATTGACATGTGAGTGACTGTTGCTATCCATGAGCCATTGAATTTCTACTATCCTCATTCTCAGTGGTCAAAAGGGTTGATTGCTTTCTACTCTCTACTTCTCATTGTCACCTGGCTTCTGTAACAATGTTCCTGCCTATACTTTTTTCCTTTTTGCAATGTCATTTTCTGCTTTCTTGTGTAATTTCAAGTAAAAAGAACTTTTTTAAAACAGTTTCTACCGTGGGGTCCTCCTGAACAGTGTGACTTCTCTGCCCAAAACAGTTGTAACGTCCAGCTGTTTTCAGTAATTTTTCCTAGTTGGAGCTCAAAGAATAACACGAGAGAACTAATTTTTTTTTCATTCTGTCCAGACTAAGATGGGAGGGCTGATAATTCTGGAAAACTATTGCAGGGATTGCTAAGATTTTATTGCATGAATACGTCTGTCTTTCTTTGGATGCCTTTTTTTTTTTAAAGCACAAAGTTAACTGTAATAAGGATGGTTATTTATATTGTTTATTTATATGTACCTTTGAGATTTCAATTTTTGTTAAATGAATATTTATTAAGTCATTATGCACTAGAAAACAGAGAAACAAAACTGAAAACAAAAACCTAAATTGCGAGGATTTTTCAGTACTACTGTAACTATATGCAAACTCAAAGCAGTTTTTTTGTGTTCGGTGGCGCTCTGAAATCCTCTTCTGGATATCTTGCCAAGTCCAGTATTGTGGAAGATGGCGTTATGGTCCAGATCACTGCAGAGAACATGGATTCCTTGAGGCAGGCACTGCTAGAGACGAGGGACTTCAGCATCACCTGTGGGAAGGCAGACGCGGAGGATCCCCAGGAGCGCATGCACATCCAGTGAGTGGATGATGACAAGAACGTTAGCAAGGGTGTCGTAAGTCCTATAGACGGGAAGTCCATGGAGACTATAACAAATGTGAAGATATTCCACGGATCAGAATACAAAGCAAATGGAAAAGTCATCATATGGACAGAGGCGTTTTTTCTAGAAAACGATTCCCAGGATTTCCTAGAAATCCTAGTGCTGGGATTACAAGGAAACGATGACCGGCACAATTGCCTCAGTGATCCTACAGATCACAGTAGATTGACTGAGCATGTTGCCAAGGCTTTTTGCCTTGCTCCTGAAGCTTCTGAAGGAGGATGGAATGACCAAACTGGGACTACGTGTAACACTTGACTCAGATCAGGCTGGCTATCAAGCAGGGAGCAGCGGCCAGCCCCTTCCCTCGCAGTCCATGAATGATTTGGACAGCGCCTTGGTGCCGGTGATCCATGGAGGGGCCTGCCAGCTCAGCCCTGTCGTCATGGAACTCATTTTTTATATTCTGGAAGCCGGGCGCGGTGGCTCACGCCTGTAATCCCAGCACTTTGGGAGGCCGAGGCGGGCGGATCACAAGGTCAGGAGATGGAGACCATCCTGGCTAACACGGTGAAACCCCGTCTGTACTAAAAAATACAAAAAATTAGTTGGGCGTCGTGGCGGGCGCCTGCAGTCTCAGCTACTTGGGAGGCTGAGGCAGGAGAATGGCGTGAACCCGGGAGGTGGAGCTTGCAGTGAGCTGAGATCGCGCCACTGCACTCCAGCCTGGGCGACTGAGCAAGACTCCGTCAAAAAAAAAAAAAAAAAAGTTAGATTAACCTTTTGTTAACACTATTAATTGGGCGGGGAATAGGGTTGGAGTGGGGGTTTGGGGGATGGGTGGGAAAGGGTGGTTGGGGGGACAGATGTTCCATAATTCTAAGTCTTTTTTCTATGCACTCTCCACCAAGAAGATCTGGGCAGCTTCTGTTCCTGCACAACAGTTATGCTATCCTTACAGGTAATCCCCTTCTGTTACTGTTTAGACAATAATTCCGCTCCTCTCTCAAGATTTACTTACGGTCATGTGCCCCGAAATGCTCAGATGGGCACAACCATCACCAAGGGTGGGATGGGAGAGCAGAGGGGAAATAAAATATGAAGCATCAGTTAAAAATAATAATACTAATAATTTGAAAAATGTTTAATGAAGACATAACTTTGTAGAAAAAGGCACACCTAAAGAAGGTTATTCAAGACAAAATTAAGAATATATTTGCTAATATATGCTTTGAATTAATTTTTGATGTTTCTTATGTATATATTTAAAAAGCAAACGTATGAATTTTAATCATTTTTTATTCATAGGAAATGTATAGGGGTTCATAAATGTTGTCAGTATACTTCTCTGACCTTATATATTCAGTTTTGTCCCCTTGTTTACAATCTGACTGAGCTGTAAAGGTGTAACCATTAACCAATCAAAGTGAACATTAAAAGGTCAGTGCATTACATATTTTAGCTGCTTCCCAAAAAAATGGGTAAGACATTCAAATTTTGGCGTATTTTTGCAAGTCCAAACTTGTAAAATAAATCTGTGATTACATAAATGAGACTCTGGCTCCCTGTAAAATTTGTAAAAAACATGAGAAGGAAGTTCAATTCCCTGTCTTTCCCTTTTTATTATATTTTAAAGTCAGTCTCCAAAATTCCAGTAAGTTGATATAGGAAGTACTCCAGTTATCAATGTCATAACAACCTTATAAATATTTTCCAGGCTGCAAGTTTCAAAATAAGAACTTCCTTCCTATTTACAAATTAGCACATGGACATACTTTGGAATTGTTTGTGGGTATCAAATAACTTTTTATTTTTGCAAATATTTGTATCAATAACTTCTTTCCTGCCTCAGCCTCCCAAAGTAACTGGAATTACAGGTGCCCACCACCAAAACCAAAGAGTGTTTATTTATTTTTTATTTTTTTTTATGTAGAGACAGGGTTTCTACATGTTGACCAGGCTGGTCTCAAACTCCTGACCTCAGGTGATCCCACCTTTCTCGGTCTCCCAAAGTGCTAGGATTACAAGCATGAGCCACCCCACCCAGCCAGTGTCAATAACTTCTATCATGACAATTATCCATTTTGGCCATCAGTTATTTGTAAATAAGTGATAAGACATTTTGCCCTCATATCTGTTTGTGATCAAAGGAAAACCAGTACCAAAGAATATTTATTTTCTGCATGATCAATGTGATTGGAACATATATAGTGTCTATATTCTTTGTTATTACTGTGAAAAATAATAAGCAAATAATTTGTGTTTTAAATCATTTGTAAAAATTTTTTTTGTTGCCAATATATTTTAACCATTCTGAAGAGAAGGCTAAAAAAGATTTTTGCGTTTTTTTTTGAGATTGAGTCTCGCTCTGTCACCCAGGATGGAGTGCAGTGGCGCGATCTTGGATCACTGCAAGCTCTGCCTCCCGGGTTCACGCCATTCTCCTGCCTCAGCCTCCCGAGTAGCTGGGACTACAGGTGCCCGCTGCCACGCTAATTTTTTTATATTTTTAGTAGAGGCGGGGTTTCACTGTGTTAGCCAGGATGGTCTCGATCTCCTGACCTCATGATCCACCCTCCTTGGCCTCCCAAAGCGCTGGGCTTACAGGAATTAGCCACCGTGCCCGGCCAGGTTTTTGCCTTTGTAAGAACGAATGTAAGGAATAAAATTAGATGGCTAAAAATGGGGGATTGGGGAGGGGAAGACTGGCCTATTGATTAGGAGAAGGCCAGGAGTAAAGTCTGCCAGTAACATTAAAGATATGAAACCATAACCTTTGTTATACAATTTTATCCATTGCATAACAGCAATGGATGCTGTTTCTGTGCTGAATGGAAGGTGAGGTCATAGCAAGAAAGCTGCCTACAAGGCCTCATTTACAGGGAAGTTTTGAGAAGCTGGAGAAAATCTGAGAAAAAGCATATATGATGGTTGGAATTAAACCATCTACAGAAAGTATGTTCTAATGTGTTAGGATAAGCACCTAATTAAGCACCAGCAGGCTGAAGCAAGCAGAGGCATCATTGGAGCTATGTGTTCACACCGTGCTGTGACTGAGAAGAAGTTGAAGGCGGTATCTCTTCAGAAGTTTCAGGCATCCGGGCATTTGAGAGGCCAAGAAGTCTGTGGCTGCTAAAAGCAAAAGGGCCAGCAGATTTAAATAAATAAATAAATAAATAAAAATAAAAAACGTTGATTTTTAAAATCTAGAAAATGTCACTGCGAGCGCAAGGTAAATTGTCACTGCAAAGATAAAAGGCACCCTCATTTCCTAAGCTTCCTGTTCTCCACATACAATTTATTTTTTAAGATTTCTGGGCAAAAGTAATTACTGCTTGATCTGCATTGAAAACTATTTTAATTGCTATATTTCAGTATAGCATGTGACATGTGGAACATTGCTGCTATCACTGGGCGAATGTCAGAGTCCGTAGATGTGTGATTTGTTGCAAGTTACTTCTAGCAAAGGCTGAACTGAAGTTTCTTTCTTCTCTGACCTTGATTATGATAATTGAATGAGGTAATTGGATGAAAATATCCTTACTTTCATTTCAACCTTAATTTTTTCCTTAAAAATTTTATAAGCAAATACATTTGCCACTTTCCTGACCTTTCAGCAATTTTTTCAGAAAATAACACACTTTCCATTTGGCCACTATCCTATTTAAAAGGAGCCATGAATATCTTGCGAATGAGAGAAAAGGAGGTCAGGCACGAATAAGATGTGATGACATTTGGAAGTCTGAAAGCGAATAGAATTGTCCTGACAGTCTAGCTAAGGAGAAGAGACACACCACTCTGAGTACTCACAATGCCAATGTAGTGGCAGTTTTTCCAAAAATCACTATGGATGATAAGAACTGGGAAGAGAAGCAGAATTCAAGAAGATTGAAAAGTTGCATATGGCAACAGCTATGTGGGTCAACCTTCCACATACTTCCCCTATCGCTTCCGTTGCCTATAGCCTTTGCACAAAGGATAAAGTCACATAAACATTCTTGAGAACAACACGATTTGTCCAGAAAAGGCTCAGTGAGACATAGCTGAATGATAGTTAGATTTGACGGGTTAATTTAGCAATTACTTGTGTGACTTCTCATCAAAGAGCAGATGTGAGTTACAGCATCATCATAAATGATGGTGAACAGATGCAGACCTGAACCAGAACTTCCACCCAACCCCCACAAACGTGTCTCCCCACTGTGTGACTAAGCCCATCGTCTCTGGAACAACTGGTAGGAAAGTGTGAGTGGGATCATCAAATCAACTACAAGAAAATCGAACAAAGGATTCTGAAGAGTAGAACTGAGGTTACAACAGAAATGTATTCAATAATACGGAAAATAATTATGTCTATCTTTTTAAAAAGAAGAAATACTAGTTTTACTTGGACATATGTGGTTGAAGGAGAGGGGCTGTGGGCATCTATCCTCCCCTTCAATGGCAAGGTATCAGTAACTGCTCAATAGAAGAACTAGTGGTCTTTTCAGAAACTTTACTGTTGGGATTAAAAAGTATGCTAGTGGACAGGAAATAATATTACCACAATGATTTCAAGATGAATTAAAAAGGCAAATGTTGAAAGCTAAATTTCAAATTCATTTGAATATGAATTGATATTTACATAATCTGGAGTGAGGCAGAGCCTGCATAGAGCTGGACACCATAAGGGAAAGGACTATAGATTAACTAGATAAAATTTCACATCGCAATTTTCCAAACAAAATTTTATCCTGTTTAGTAAACATCACTTAAACACAATTTTAACATTATAAATATATCTGCACATATACATGTACAAATGTGTTATTTATGTAGAAAGAGTTAAAACAGATCAACAGCAAAACATGCATTTTTGTACATAAGTGATTAACAAGGGAGGGTAATGTGCTTTTTTTTTCAAAAATAGTCACTAGCTTGGGCACAGTGGCTCACACCTATAATCCTAGCACTTTGGGCAGAAGTGCTTGAATCCAGAAGTTTGACATCAGCTTGGGCAACATAGCGAGACACCAACTCCACAAAATTTTTTTTTAAAAAAGCCAGGCATGGTGGCACACACCCGTAGTCCCAGCTACTCAGGAGGCTGAAGCAGGAGGATTATGTGAGCTGGAGGTCGAGGCTGCAGTGATCAATCAGGCCACTGAACTCCAGCCTGGGTGACAGAGACTTCATCTCCAAAAACAAAAAATAGTAATTAAAAAGAAAGGCCCTGCTGCAAAAGAAGAAAGGCAGTGGATTTGTCATACAGTCTAACTTTTATGAAGAGTTTACTTACTGCTACTTTTAAAGGGTATCTTACAGTCTGTAAATTGGCAGATGGAATAATGACTTGTACTTCCCTCTTATGAGTAATTAAAGCAACTTATTTTTGTTCAGTGCTTCAACACCTTCATTTACTGTCTGATTAGACAACTTTTCTAGAATCTGCTATCTGCAAACCCTCCTCTCATATGCAGATCTACAACGTGTGAATATAACATTCCTGATTATATCATGACCACTCCCAGTGGGCTCTGCTGGTAGCTTGTTTTGTATAGGTATAGATCCAGTGCTTTTTCCTCTTTATTCTTTTTATTGAGCGCTCTTATACATATATGGTTATGCAGAGATAACACACTGTCAATACAAAGATTTTCAGAATTTATTGGACAAAATGACACAAAACTAAAAATATCATTTACACATGAAATTCAAAGAACGCATTATTTTTCCTTACAAAATTGTGGAAAAATTAATTCAGATAGTAACATAGAACTAGTTCTAAAACTAAAATGCTAGTGTGAATGTATACAGGAGATATGGTTTGACTGTGTTCCTACCCAAATCTCATCTTGATTTTTAGCTCCCACAATTCCCACATGTTGTGGCAGGGACACAGTGGGAGGTAACTGAATCACGGAGGTGAGTCTTTCTCATGCTGCTCCCATGAGAGTGCATAAGTCTCATGAGATTGGACGGTTTTATAAAGGGGAATTCCCCTGCACACATGCTCTCTCTCTTGCCTGCCACAAAGATGTGACTTTGCTCCTCATTCACCTTCTGCCATGATTGGGAGGCCTCCCCAGCCATGTGGAACTGTGAGTCAATTAAACCTCTTTACTTTATAAATTACCAGTCTTGGGTATGTCTTTATTAGCAGTGTGAGAACAGAGTAATAGAACAGGCAAAATGAAGGAGTTTATTTTAAACCTGCTTTAAAGTATTTCGTGGTTAAAGTATTTAAAACCTTTTCTTCTATTTTTAGGAAAACAATGAGAAAGCTAAACACAGGTCTAACTTGTTATTCAACTAAAAATTATTTTAAAAATATTTGAGTACAGACTTCTGGCACCAGCCAAGACAAAGCATGCTCACCAAGGCCTATTTCTCTTTCTGACTGAAATTAAAACTCTGGACATAAAAAGCAACTATCAAGGACTCTTAAAAGTAAACAATAACAGATGGATTGAAGGCAAAATCAAAATACCAATAGTGACCTGTAACAGGGGTGGGTTTAATGGCTATTTTTTTTTCTAACCCAGGTGTGCAAAATTTCTACTGTTTTTAGCTAGAGAACCAAGAATGAAGCCTCTGCAAGATGGAGCATATGTAGAGTGTTGGGAGCAGGCCCCCCAAAATCTGGCCATAAACTGGCCATAAATAAAATCTCTGCAGCACTGTAACATGTTCATAATGGCCCTAACACCCATGCTGGAAGGTTGTGGGTTTACTGGAATGAGGGCAAGGAACACCTGGCCTGCCCGGGGTGGAAAACCGCTTAAAGGCATTCTTAAGCCACAAACAATAGCATGAGCGATCTGTGCCTTAAGGACATGCTCCTGCTGCAGTTAACTAGCCCAACCTATTCCTTTAATTCGGCCCCTCCCTTCGTTTCCCATAAGGGATACGTTTAGTTAATTTAATATCTATAGAAACAATGCTAATGACTGGCTTGCTGTTAATAAATACGTGGGTAAATCTCTGTTCGTGGCTGAGCTCTGAAGGCTGTGAGACCCCTGATTTCCCACTTCACACCTCTATATTTCTGTGTCTATGTCTTTAATTCCTCTAGCACCGCTAGGTTAGGGTCTCCCTGACCGAGCTGGTCTCGGCATAGAGAAATAATTCTTTTGTTTTTCTCTTTCTTCCCCACCCAGCCTTGCCTGGAAGCCAGCTCTGGTTCTGAAGCTGCTGTCATGATACTAGCTGTGTAGTGGCAGCAATGCACAGGCACTGAGAACTTCAAGACAGACAATCTCTCTCATTATTTCTCTTTAAAGAAAAAAAAAGGGGGGTACAGACACTTATGAGAAAACAAAAACACATGAAGACAAATATAAAAATACAATACTAAGATATCAAATCTGGCAATATTTAAAAACAATACTTTACAAACAAGTGATTTATACCATGAATGCAAGGCTGGTTCAACATTCAAAGCTCAACAGATATAAATTGCAACATTATTAGGTAGATGAAGAATAAACGTGTCATTTCAGCAGATGCAGCAAAAGCATTTGACAAAATTCGGCCGGGCGCGGTGGCTCACGCCTGTAATCCCAGCACTTTGGGAGGCCGAGGCGGGCGGATCACGAGGTCAGGAGATCGAGACCACGGTGAAACCCCATCTCTACTAAAAATACAAAAAATTAGCCGGGCGCAGTGGCGGGCGCCTGTAGTCCCAGCTACTCGGGAGGCTGAGGCAGGAGAATGGCGTGAACCCGGAAGGCGGAGCTTGCAGTGAGCGGAGATCGCGCCACAGCACTCCCGCCTGGGCGACAGAACGAGACTCCGTCTCAAAAAAAAAAAAAAAAAAAAAAAAAAAAAGCATTTGACAAAATTCAATAGCTATTCTTTATAAAAACTCTCAACAAAATGAGAAAAGGGAACTTATCCTGATAGAGGGCATCTACAAAACAAACAAAAAAAAAAACAAACAAAACTACCACTAAATTACACTTAATGGTGACTCTCCAACTGATTTAAAAACTGGGTCCAAGGCAAGAAGTCAGCTCTTTTACCACTTATATTCAACTTTATACTGATAGTCCTAGCCAGATCAGTAATGTAGGGAAAAAAATCAGTGACATCCACATCAGAAAGGAAGAAATAAACCTGTTTCTATTTTCAGACAACAGTCTATGTAAAAGTATTCAAAATAACCTATTAAAATTCTCAATATGCGAGTTTAGTAATGTGGTTATATGCAAACTCAATAAACAAAATCAATCATATTTCTATATATTACCAAACAACGTTTGGAAATAGAAACATACAAAAAATTATTTAGAATGACATAAAAAATAAAGCGTTTATGTATAATTTTACAAAAATATGTGCACAATTGGTATTTTTCCTCCCAAGTAGCTGGGACTACAGGCATGCACCACCATGTCCAGCTAATTTTTGTATTTTTAGGAGAGCTGGGGTTTCACCATGTTGCCCAGCCTGGTCTCAAATTCATGGTCTCAAGCAATCCACCCGCCTCAGCCTCCCAAAGTGCTGGGATTATAGGCATGAGCCACTGTGCCGGACTCCCTATTTACATTATTTTAAAAAACCTATTTACCTTTAGATAAATGTTTGAGGTGATAGATACGCTAATTACCCTGATTTGATCATTCCATATTATACACCTCAAAATATCACACTATACCTCATAAATATGTACAATTATGTGTCAATTAAAAAAAACCAAAAAATTATTTTTTCAACCTTCATAGTAGCTTTTTTTTAATTAAAGGAATTTATCTCTAATAATAAAGTCAAATAGAACAAAAATTACAGACTGAGGATCATTTTGTGGAGGAAATACAAATGTAGGCCTGGAACAGAGGGCATAAAAAAATAACATCATCCTCTTAAGTATATACTTTAAAAGAAAAAAGAAAGTTGTAGATATCAAAAAAAAAAACAACACATTTTACTTTTAACTGGGCACTTTCACTACACTTATATCACAATGCTGCCTGGATAACATTTTAAAGAATTGTTTATTACAAATGAGAGGAAATGCCAGCTAAAGTCAAGGGAGTTGAACAGTTTTCAGTTTTCCCTGCCAATCTAAACCACCAGTGCCAGTAAGGACTACTCAGTGAAGAGTGCAGAGCAGGAACCCAAGCGTGTTGTGATGTCAAAAACAGCAGTTATTTTATATCATGGGTTTTGAATCACTGATATTCTATTTTTGTTGTTGCTTTTTATTGATATACCAGAAATAATGTTATTTTTTAAATGTTACATGTTCTGAATGACCTGTTCTTAATACTTTCCTCTTTAGAGCGGTCTTCATTTATTTCCCCAGAAGTGTAGATGAGGTGATTGTTTATAAAACTTACATCTTTAAATGCTCTCAATTGTTGGAGTGTTTGACGTTCTTGGTTGATCCATTCTTTTTTCTTTTGCTCCTTTTTATCTTGTCTCTTTTCTATATTTAAGCAGATGTATATTTGTAAATTGCTCAACATTACAAAAATGTCGTGGCATACAATAAAAATGTCTTGACAAAGAAAGAGGCTGTACCCCAACATTACCACCCCAAGACTGCAACCAGACTGCAGGCCTGGAGGTGAATTGGCTGACAGCTGCAGGTCCAGGGCAGCGCAACTCCAGTTTCCACAAGTCTAGGCCTGCATGTCACGCTACACAAACATAGAACATTTTCCTTCGGAGGACACTCACCATCTGAATACTGTGATGCTGACGAGAATATCTTATGCTTTCTTCAGCCTGTTGCAATCTGAGCCAATGATTTTCTTCGCACTGATCCTGGTGGAATAATACAAATCACCTACATGGTTTTTAGTGTTACCCTGGTATAGCATAAAAGGTTAAAAGAAGAAAGCACTGCATTTGGGCGTAGTGTAAGGCATTCATTAATATTAGTTCTGGTGCGGCCCAATGGTACTCTCCTCCACAGTCTATGATGAGAGTTGCCTGGCTGCTTATGGAAATAATTTATTCCCAGCAGAGTGCTTTAAGAGGTGAAAACAATCCGCCAACCATGAGAGGACACACAGGCAGCCCCCATTCTTAAATGGGATGTGTCCCAACAATGTTTTAATGTGATTGTTTTAAACACATTTCCCCATAACATTATAAATACTAATTACATTTCCAAGCATACCTACAAACGCAGAGCAACTGAAAAATTGTTATAACTGTGTTTCACCTGTGCTTAACCACTCACTATACCAATATATAATATGCTATATGTACATAAAATCCTTAATCTATGTAAAAAATAATACAGTAATACTCACAGATAATACTAACATTTATTGAGTAGGTTTTAGCTTCAATGATAAGTACTTTTCATGCCTTATGCTACTCTATCGTCACATGAAATTTGTATTATTACCACTATCTTTTTTTTTTGAGACTGAGTTTTGCTCTTGTTGCCCAGGCTGGAGGAGTGTAATGGCATGATCTCGGCTCACTGCAACTTCCGCCTCCTGGGTTCAAGCGATTCTCCTGCCTCAGCCTCCCAAGTAGCTGGGATTACGGGTGCCGTGCCTGATCTATCATCCTCTTTTAACAGAGGAGAAAACTGTGAGCCCAAAAGAGATTTAAGTAATTTGCCTAATGTCACATGACTACTACCTAAGTGGCCAGACTGCGATCTGAACCCAAGTTGAGAGCTCACCTCAACTACCATTCTATTAACCGAGTGCCTTCCAAATTCCAACATTTCCAGAATCAGTGGAAAGAGCTCCTCTAAATGGGGTAGGGGGAGTGATTATATCTTGAGAGTGAAGGTTAATGCTCCAAGTCTGGATAAGAGAAGGCACAGGAGCATTTTATATACATATACATATAACACTGCCAAGGAGGTGGAGGCATCTGTTCATCCACAGCACCATGGGAGTGCCAAAGGAGACTCCTCTTGGGGCTCATGGGTTTTCTGAAATGTGGAGCAAAGGGCAAATGCCTGTAGATCTTCAAATCCTCTGAATAACAGTTCCTAAATCCAGAAGTACAATTCTTAAACATGAACATGCAAAGAATATACTCTTCTAACAAATTTTTTTATTTTTAATTTTTATTAGAGACAGGGTTTTGTTCTATCACCCTAGCTGGAGTGCAGTGGTACAATCACAGCTCACTGAGGCCTCAACCTCCTGGCCTCAAGCAATCCTCCTGCCTCAGCCTCTTGAGTAGCTGGGACTATACATGCGCACCACAGAGATGAGGTCTCCCTGTGTTGTCCCTGGTCTCGAACTTCTGGCCTTAAGTGATTCTCCCACCTCAACCTCCCAAAGTGCTGGGATTACAGGCATAAGCCACAGCACCTAGCCAAGTTTTTTTTAAGTATTTGTATTTACATGGAAGAGTAATTAACATTTTTGTAAGCTACGAAAGTCACAATTTTCATGTTTTCTTAATTCTAACAAGAAAAGTATAGTAGGCTCGGCACAGTGGCTCACGCCTGTAATCCCAGCACTTTGGGAGGCTGAGGCAGGTGGATTGCTCGAGGTCAGGAATTCAAGGCTAGTCTGACCAACATGGTGAAACCCCATCTCTACTAAAAATACAAAAATTAGCCAGGCTTGGTGGCAGGCACCTGTAATCCCAGCTACGCAGGAGGCTGAGGCAGCAGATTCACTTGAACCTGGGAGGTGGAGGTTGCAGTGAACCGAGATCACGCCACTGCACTCCAGCCTGGGAGACAGAGCAAGACTGCGCATCAAAAAAAAAAAAGGGAGAAAAGTATAGTAAATATGAGTAAATACACATAAAAGTCTGTATAAAAATGATATATAGAAGCTTCCTTTTCTGTCAGAAAAAATTAAATTTCTTAGTGTTATCTTTTTATGTATTCATGGATTTTTAAAAATTAAGAAAAAAATCACCAAATACAAGGTCTGAGGTGAGCTGAATATTGTTATCTGTAATTGTTTTGTGTACTAAAATATATTTAGAATTATTATAGCTGGTTATTAGAAATAGAGTTTCTACCTATTGTGGTTTTTAAAGTACCTGTGGTCCGGGGGTGGTGGCTCACACCTGTAATCCCAGGACTTTGGGAGGCCAAGGTGGGCGGATCACTTGAGGTCAGGAGTTCAAGACGAGCCTAGCCGACATGGCGAAACCCCGTCTCTACAAAATATACAAAAATTAGCTGGGCGTGGTGGCACGTGCCTGTAAACCCAGCTACTTGGCAGGCTAAGGCACGAGAATTGCTTGAACCTAGGAGGCAGAAGTTGTAGTGAGCCAAGATCATGCCTCCGCACTCCAGCCTGGGTGACAGAGCAAGACTCTGTCTCAAAAAAAATAAAAATAAAGTGCCTGTGTATGCAGTGGGAATTCAACAAATAGTTGTTGAATGAATAAATTAAAACCTTGAGATTTGCTAAATGCTTAAAACCCAAAAGAAAAAAATAATATTTTTAAGAAAAATATTAAAAATCATTTTAACTATAGCCATGGATAAGTTCATAAGCACACAAAAAATTAATCACTGTGTTGGTAAAAACCTTATTTCAATACCTCTTTATCCTTCATACAAGAATAAATCTCTGGAAGAGAAAAGAAAAGAAAGCCGCTCTGAGCGTACCCACCTTTCTACTCTGGAGAGAAGCTCTTTTGACACAGATCCTGCCCCGTTTAATAGACTCCAGCTGCTGGCACTGCCTTCTGAGTTCTTTCACTTCCGAATTCTTATCGTCCTGCAGCCCCACCACAGTCAATGACTAAGTTCCTCTGGACTTTCACATGGATCGTAATAGACAACTTCATCCTGTTTTTCTAAAAAGGTATTAATGATTGTTTAAAACATATTTTATTATTTGTAAAAATACATTGAATTTTTTTAAATGTAAGGAAAATAAAGATCACTTGTAATCCCACCACTGAGAATCACTATTAACATATAAAAAATCTGTGTATAAATGTAATATACATATACACATGTGTATATATACATGACTATACACATGTATGTAAGTAGCATGTGTGTATATACATGTAAGTAGTATATGCATGTATATATACCTGTATAGACATATGTATATATACACATGCACACACACACACATACTACTTACATAGCTACACGTATCAATGGAGTTCTAAAAGAACACTTTCCATGGGATGGAAATAAATTTTTAGGCCAGGTGCGGTGGCTCACGCCTGTAATCCCAGCACTTTGGGAGGCCAAGGCAGGCTGCACACCTGAGGTCAGGAGTTCAAGACCAGCCTGGCCAACATGGCAAAACCCCATCTCTACTAAAAATACAAAACTAGTTGGGCACAGTGGCGTGTGCCTGTAATCCCAGCTACTCAGGAGGCTGAGGCAGGAGAACAGCATGAACCTGGGAGGCAGAAGTTGCAGTGAGCCGAGATCGTGCCACTGCACTCCAGCCTGGGCAACAGAGCAAGACTCCATCTCCAAAAACAAAAAAAAATTTAAAAAAGATAAATTTTAATGGCAGCATAGTATTCTCTAATTTAAGCAATCCATGTTGTTAGGCTGTTCCAATGTTCCATTATTATTCATTTCACTGTGATGAACATCTCTGTATAAATCTTTGTGTATGCTTTTTATCACTTCCTTAGCAGATAAGTGTTTAAGGATCTTGATACCCATTGCCACACTGCCCTCCAGAAAGGCAACTTATATTCTACCAGCAATATATTATTAAGATGCCTTAGTGATATTTAATCTTGATTACATATTGATTTTTTAAAAGTCATGCTTACTGTAACAAATTCAAACCCACCCGAAGTACATCAAATAAACAGTGAAATTCTATTGCTCCTTCCCCAAACCTTCTGAGTCATTCTCAGAGGAAAAACATTATGAACAATTTGGCATGCATCCTTCCAGATTAACTTCTTTTTTAATGTAATTTTTTTCCTAAATATGTAAAATGCTTATAACCTGAAACTACTGAAAAAAATTCTGAATACTCAGGATTAAACTAAAAGTTCAGGATCTATGTGAAGAAATTTATTAAACTTGGAGGAACTTTAGGAAAAAAGATTTAAATAAATGGAGAGAGACATACCATGTTCTTGGGTAGGAAGATTCAAAATTGCAAAGACCACTATTCTCCCCAAAGTAATCTCTAATTTTAAGCAAAATCACAATCAAAATTCCAAAGAGTTTTTTGTTTTGAACTTGATTCTAAATTTCATCTGAAAGAATAAAGGAGTGAAAATAGTCAGAAAACTTGTGAAGTAATGTGGGGGGTACTTGCCTTACCAGACCCTAAAATGTGCCTCCAAGACAGTTGTGGGAACAGTATGGAGCCAGTAGCAGAAGCCACTCACGAACCAATGGAGGAGAACAACTCAGAAACAGACCAAAGTCAATCTAATGTTTAACTGGAGAAATGTTAAACATTTAGGGAAAATGTTTTTAAAATCAGTGATTGGGACTGTTTAACAATTTGAGGGAAAGGTTCAATTCCTACCACAATCAAAATAAATTCCACCTGGACTAAAGAATTAAATGTTTTAAAAAATAACATCATAAACATACTGAAAGAAAACATAAGTATATATTGACATAATTTTGGGATAGGAGACTATTGCCAGACATAATACTAAAAGCAGAAGCCATAGGGGAAAAAAATCGATAAACACGACTTCATAAAACTTAAATATTTCTGAAAGGCAAGAAAACGCAAATGACAAGGAGAGATTATTTGCAACATATGACAGACAATAGAGGACATTATTCTTAATGTTGAAAGGAAATATTCCAAAGAAAAATGGACAAAGACTATGAATAGGCATTTCATAAAATAAGTACAAATGGCTTGTAAACATACAAAATTTTGTTCAATAATCACTCATAATTAAATAAATGAAAATTGGAAGACTGCCATTTTCTCTGTCAAGTAAGCAAAAATGCAAAAGAATGGCATGAGTCTGGGAAACATACACACTCATATTCTGCTGATGGGAGCGTCTTTTTTCTTTTCTTTTTTTTTTGAGACAGAGTCTTACTCTGTCGCCCAGGCTGGAGTGCAGTGGTGCCATCTCAGCTCACTGCAATCTCAACCTCCCAGGTTCAAGCGATTCTCCCGCCTCAGTCTCCCAGGTAGCTGGGATTGCAGGCACCCACCACCACGCCCGGCTAATTTTTGTATTTTTAGTAGAGACAGGGTTTCACCACGTTGGCCAAGCTGGTCTTGAACTCCTGACCTCAAGTGATCTGCCCCCACTCAGCCTCCCAAAGTGCTGAGATTACAGGCGTGAGCCACCACGCCCAGCCTGGGAGCGTCATTTTAAATGTACGACCTATCTAGAGGGCCACTACATAGTATGAAATTTAGAAATCAGAAAATAATACAGAGGTGAGGAAAAATGTATCTCAGATGACTGCTGTATTGTTACATAGCAAAATGTAAAATATACATTGCCCTTGACCCAATAATTCCATCCTTAGATATTTATTCCAAGGAGATAATCTGTCCTATACTCAAAGACATGTGTAAAGGAAAGTTCACTACACTACTGTTCAAAACAGCGGAAATTTGGAAATCACGGTATATCCATATAATGGAATACTATGCAGCCATTAAAATTTTGATACTTTTATTATTTCTGAAACAGAAAGACAATTATTATGTATTAAATGAAAAAGAGACTATTATGCATTGTATGCCTGTGTCAAAATATCTCATGTAACCCATAAATATATATATCTGCTATGCACCCCTAAACATTAAAAAATTTTAAAAAAGATGTTACTGAACTGGTTATGTAGTTTTGGTTAAAAATTTATATTTTTACATATCAGCATATTTTGAAATCTACAAAGTTATACAGCAAATTGTTACCACTAAGTATCTGTCTTTTTTTTTTTCTTTTTTAGATGGAGTCTCGCTCTGTCTTCTAGGCTGGAGTGCAGTGGCACGATCTTGGCTCACTGAAACTTCCACCTCATGGGTTCAAGCCATTCTCCTGCCTCAGCCTCCCAAGTAGCTGGGATTACAGGCACGTGCCACCACATTGGACTTTGTATTTTTAGTAGAAACAGGGTTTAGTATTTTTGTATTTTTAGTAGAGACGGGGTTTCACCATGTTGGTCAGACTGGTCTGGAACTCCTGACCTCAAGTGATCTGCCCGCCTCAGCCTCCCAAAGTGCTGGGATTATAGGCCTGAGCCACTGTGCCCAGCCAACCATTGAGCATCTCTAGATGATGGGATTGGGGTAATAATCATTTTTCTTTCTTTGTTTTGCTATGTGCTAACAATGAATATATTATTTGAATAATAAACCACTGAAGGAAAACTTTAGGAAATTTTCAGATGTTACAGTTTACAAAAAGTAATTGATAATATGGTCTGTATTTCCTTAAATTTATAAACATTGTAATCTATATACTTAAATAAAAACTTTACCTTTTATAAGTCTTTCAAGAGAGTCCAACTGTGTAGTAAGCAGTATTTCTTTGTTTTTTAATATCTCAAATTTAACTTCATATAGTTCTAACTGAATTTCATAAAATTGTATTGCTAATTCATCTACAACATTTATATTTTTTTCTTGTTCTGGAAGATCTTCCATCTTATTTTCATAGAAAAAAGAAAAATAAGTTAAAACAAATAGTATATTAAAAACAAACTTTAGAAGCATTCTAGCTATTTTCTATTCCTTGTTCCGTACTAAATATAAAAGAGCAAATAGGAAAGAAACACTTTTTCATTTCATCTAGTGATGCTAATACTTTATCCCATCCTTGAAACAGAGAAAAACATTTAGGTTTTGAGAAACATAAATGGCAATGAGGTATTATTATGTATTGCATATCGGTGTCCCCCCAAAATTCATATGTTGACACTGTAACTCCCAATGTGATGTTATTTGGAGGTGGGTCCTTTGGAAGTAATTAGGTTCAGATTATGTCAAAAGGATAGCACCCCCATCATGGGATTAGTGCCCTTATTAGAAGAGAAAGACAGGGATCACTTTCTTTCTCTCCAAACATACACACAGAAGAAAGGCTATGTGAGCACTCAGTTAAGAAGGCAGCTGTCTACTAGACAGGAAGAGGATCCGCACCAGACAGTGAATCTGCAGGCACCTTGATCTTGGACTTCCCAGCCTCCAGAACTGTGAGAAATACATGTCCATTGTTGAAGCCACCCAATCTGTGACATTTAATATTGTTACAGCAGCCTTAGCCAACTAAGACAGGTGTTTACAGTGTTTTCTGCTTTAAAGTCATAAGATTATAGGAAAAAACTTAAGTGTCTAAGATCCTTCAGGGAAGTATCTCTTTGATTATTTTAAAGCTGTACTGAAAACATTGCTGGATTGATTTTCAAGTACAGTACCCACTTCAATACTGGGCTTGGTGTTACTATAAAGTGAATCCTACAGTGTGGTATTTTGAAACATCTTAACCAAAGGAAAACTTTATGTCTAACCTTCCATAGGAGATGGTGTTGGAATAAGTGAAGAAAAGCAGCTCTTTAACAATGCCTGGAAAGAAAAGTGCTATCTAAAAATACAAGTGTGCTTTACCACATGGTCTCACTTATAAGTGGGAGCTAAGTAGTGTATACACAGACAGTGTGGAATAACAGACACTGGAGACTCAGAAGAGTAAGAGGGTGGGAGGGGGGATGAGAAATATTTAATGGGTACAATTACATTATGTAGGTGATGATTACGCTAAAAGCCCAAACTTCACCACTACACAATATATCCATGGAACAAAACTGCACTTGTATCCTTTATTTATACAAAATTTTTAAAAAATAAAAGTGGCGCGGGGCACGGTGGCTCACGCCTGTAATCCCAGCACTTTCGGAGGCCAAGGTGGGCGGATCACGAGGTCAGGAGATCGAGACCATCCTGGCTAACACGGTGAAACCCCGTCTCTACTAAAAATACAAAAAATTAGCTGGGCGCGGTGGCGGGCACCTGTAGCCCCAGCTACTTGGGAGGCTGAGGCAGGAGAATGGCATGAACCCAGGAGGCGGAGCTTGCAATGAGCCGAGATCGTGCCACTGCAGTCCGGCCTAGGCAAAAGAGCGAGACTCTGTCTCAAAAAAAATAAAATAAAATAAAAAATAAATACAAGTGTATTTTTAAAACAAAGTTATGTTTATCTTTGTCTTACCTTTCCCTGAATTTCAGCTCTTTTGTGATTTAAACATAACTCTTTCGCTCTCATGAGTTGCAGAGTCTCTTGAGCTAGCATTAGCTTAAGTTTTTCCAACCTGGGAATTGCTGTGGCCCAGGCAGCCTGGCCAAATCTCTTCACATCCTGTTCCATTTCTTTCTGCATTCCTGTTAGATTATAAAAATAAAATATAATTACACCTCATTAAAAAGGGAAACATTGATCATGAGCTAATTCTTTTTTTATTGCCTCCATACTACCTGCAGAACATCTTTTTTAAAAGAAATTTTGTTTTATTAATTTTTTATTATTATAAAAATAATACATGGTCATTAATATACAATTTTAGGTATTCAATTTTTAAAAGGACAATAATAAGTCATGATCTCACCTAGTTGAGGCAAGTGCTTCTTATATTTTGGCACACTTGCTTCCATATTGTTTCTATGACTAGCTAGACAGACAGGCTCATATGGATAGTTTGACCAAAAAACCAGGATCATCATTCTGCTTTATATCTTGTTGATTCTGTGCAATATATCAGAAACTCCTGCCATTTATAAAAAAAAAATCAAGAATCATGCTTAATAGCTATGTAGTTTTCTCTTTTATGAATGTACCATAACTTAACAAACTGACAGACATTAAGTTGTTTCCTATTTGGTGTTTTTATCAACAATTATTTAAGACTGAAAAAAAGTCCTTCACCCAGCCCGCAAGCCCCTGCACGGTCTGATCCCTGCCTGTCTTGCCAGCATTCTCCCTCATACCACATTGTCCTGCACTCTCTGCGATCCAGCCCCGCAGGTTTTCTGTAAGCTCCTATTTGCCAACTTCCCTCAAGCCAGGGGACCTTCGCCAGTGCTATTCCTTCCGCCCAGAACACTCCTCACTTTTTCTATTCTCTCAATTTCCATTTACCCTTCAGATATTGGGGCAAGCGCCACTTCTCAGAGGCCTTCAGTGACCACCCTGATCAAGCCCAATTTCTCTCTCACAGACCCTCAGAGCCCCATGTCTCTCTTCTTTGTGCCATTTATTGTCACTGCCATTTTCTGTGTGCTTCAGTGAATAGATAATTAAGATTTCTCTCCCTTCACCAGACTGTACAATG
This sequence comes from Homo sapiens, assembly GCF_000001405.40. Taxonomy (NCBI): domain Eukaryota; kingdom Metazoa; phylum Chordata; class Mammalia; order Primates; family Hominidae; genus Homo; species Homo sapiens. The sequence continues at coordinate 22,671,742 of NC_000015.10, read as the reverse complement.
TCTCTTAATGTTTGACACTGAATTCTCGCCACCTAGAAAACACAGTGCCTAGTGCGTAAGAGGGACTCAAATGGTATTTGAATAAAATGACAATCAATTACACGTATCTGCGTATAGCATTTTTTAGATTATCACCTGCTAATGCTTTTACTGTCTCCTTAAAATAATTCACTGTGATATCTTGAATAGAGACGACAGCTTCTCCAGCCCGTCTGGTCCATTCTTCAGCTTCTTTCTCCAGGGCAACTACCCTTCTAGGACCTAGGTCATCCTCATCCAAGGACTTCTACAGACAGAAGGGAAAATTATCTTAGTAAGAGCTAATAGTTATGTAGAACCATTAGGAAATTGAAAGGAAATTGGTCACATGGATTAATTTAACTACACTACTACTCAGTCAGTTAAATTTTCATTCATTCAGCAGTCCCTTACTGCACATGAATAAGGCTCTAAGCTGAGCACCACCTGGAAGACAAAAGGACCCTCTGGGGCATAAAGTGGGGGGAAAAAAAACTACTTTCACTTCACATGCCTAGAATAACTTTTTCTAGAGAGGAATGTTGTCAACTTATGCTTCTCTCTATTAATAATAATACACAATTGTTTAAATGAGTGATCTGTGTTGTCAAACACTCAGCACAGGGCCTGGAAAACAGCACTTAAGTGTTAGCTGTTGTTATCATTTCTTTTAGGGATATGTAATATTATCACCTAAAAGACAGTATCTGTATATTCATGCTTATAACATGTACTGGTATTGGACTGAATGTTTGGGTCCCCCCAAAATGCATATGTTGAAGCCTAAATCCCCAGTGTGATGGGATTTGAAGATGGGGCCTTTGGGAGGTAATTAGGTCATGAGGGTGGAGACCTCAAGAAAATTGGGATTAATGCCCTTATAAAAAGAAGAGGAGACACAGGATCTCTCTCTCTGCTCTTCACCATGTGAAGACACAGCAAGACAGTCATCTACAAATTAAGAAACTGGCCCTCACAAGACACTGGATCTGCCAGCACCTTGATCTTAGACTACCCAGCCTCCAGAACTGTGAGAAAAAAAGTTTTGTTGTTTATAAGCCACTAATCTACAGTACTTTGTTACAACAGCCTGAACTAAGACATGTACAGCTATGTCATCCAATATGCAATTTTTCTTCTACAAAGCATAAGAAATATGTACAAGTTAGCCGACAAGGAATTACAAATCAAAACCATAACGAGATACCACTTCACACCCACTAGGATGGCTGTAACCAAAGAGACACACAATTACAAGTGTTGGTGATAATGTGGACAAATTGGAACCCTCATTTACTTCTTCTGGGAATATAAATGATGCACCCACTTTGGAAAACCATCTGGCGTCTTTCAAAAGGTTAAACACTGGGTAATCACAGGACCCAGCAATCCTACTCCTCAGTACGTACACAAGAGCAATGAAAAGATATGTCTACACAAAAACTCACACACAAGCATTCATAGCAGAATTATTCATGATAGCCAAAAAGTGGAAACAACCCAAATGTCCATCAACTGATGAAAAAAATGCAATATATCCATACAATGAATATCACTGAGCAATAAAAAGAAATGAAATCCTGGTATTTGCTACAACATGGATTAGCCTTGCAAACATTGTGCTGAGTGAAAGGACCACATATTCAATAATGCTGTTGCTATGTCCAGAGTAGGGAAATCCACAGAGACAGAAAGTAGATTGGTGGTTGCCCAGGGCTGGCAGTGACTAATGGGTACAGGGTTTCTTTTGGGGGTGAAAATGTCCTGAAATTACATAGTAATGATCATTGTGCAACTTTCAATATACTAAAAATCACTGAATTGTACATCTTTTTATATATGTAGATATATTTTATATATATATATGCATATATATACGTATATACGTATATATATATGTATATATGTGTACATATACATATACACATATATACATATATATATACGTATATATACACATATACACATATACATATATACATATATTATACAGATTATATATATGTATACATATATACACATACATATATACATATATGTATGTACATATACATGCATACATACATACATATATATGTATACATATATATATACAGATTATATATATATATATATAGTCTGTGAATGGTATTTTAAAACAGCTGTTACTTAAAGAAAGGAAAATTATAGACTGGGTGCGGTGGCTCATGCCTGTAATCCCAGCACAATGGGAGCCTGAGGCAGGCAGATCACCTGAGGTCAGGAGTTCGAGACCAGCCTGACCAACATGAAGAAACCCCGTCTCTACTAAAAAAATACAAAATTAGCCGGGCTGGACATGGTGGCACATGCCTGTAATCCCAGCTACTCGGGAGGCTGAGGCAGAAGAATCGCTTGAATCCAGGAGGTGGAGGTTGCCGTGAGCCAAGATCACGCCATTGCACTCCAGCCTGGGCAACAAGAGCGAAACTCCATCTCAAAAAAAAAAAAAAAAAAAGAAGAAAGCAAAATATATGCAAGAAGTAGACTCTCCAAATAATAGACTTTCAAAATAATGAACAGAACAACTTTATCCACAGGTTAGAGTGGCATGAGTTTCATCTAAATGTGATACTATTTTTATAGTACAATCATCTGGCAGGGGCATGAGATTATATGTGGAAAGATGGCCCAGTGCAGGGGGCAGAAATCAAGAGATCTCTTAGGTGTCTTCTGATTCCCGTTGTTGAGACCCAAGGCAAGCTATTTAACAACTCTGGACTCTAGATTCATTTGTAACACTGGAATAAGAATGCCTTTCCTGAATGGTGTCACAAGGATGTTTGATGGCTCAATGAAGCAAGAGCGATAACTGTATTTACTAAAATTTAAGTTACTGAATTACAATCTAGGGTCCTGCTATTTAAATTTTCATCCTATTTTAAGAAATCTGCATGAGTCCTTAGAGGAAAACAACTGAAGCAAATAAACATCACATCAAAAACAATTCATCAGGCTGGGCGCAGTGGCTCACGCTTGTAATCCCAGCACTTTGGGAGGCTGAGACGGGTGGCTCACTTGAGGCCAGGAGTTCGAGACCAGTCTGGCCAACATGGTGAAACCCCGTCTCTACTAAAAATACAAAAAAAGTTAGCTGGGCATGGTAGTGCACACCTGTAATCCCAGCTACTCAGGAGGCTGAGGCAGAAGAGTCACTTGAACCTGGAGGAGGTTGCAGTGAGCCAAGATTGTGCCACTGCACTCTAGCCTAGCTGACAAAGAGAGACCCTATCTCAAAAAACAAAAAAAAAATTCATCGCCAGAAAAAACATTTAACTCTTTAAAATCTGTAGGAATCTTAAGCTATTAAGATGACCAACATAAATGTCTTCATTTTCTATCAATTTTAAATATAAATTCAATATTTAAACACGAGGGTGAACTAGGCATAGTGGCTTACGCCTGTAATGCTACGCTTTGGGAGGCCGAGGTGGGCAGACTGCTTGAGCTCAGGAGTTAGAAACGAGCTTGAGCAACATGGCAAAACCTCATCTCTATCAATAAATAAGTAAATAAACATAAGAGTAAACCCAAACAAACCCAAACAAAGTACAGAGATTGAAGATTAAGTGTAAATAAAGAAATAATATATGACAAATAGTAAATGTGATAAAATAAAAATTTTAAAAAAATACCAAAATATCAAGCTTACATAAAGTTGCAACTTCTCGCATAGCCCTAAATGGCTGCAGTAAGTACTGGAAGAACGTGGTTGCCACGGTAACTAATTCCTGGTAGGCTTCATCTTCCTCTTGGTAAACTTTCATTAATGCTACCATGGTGTTGGCTTTTCGGTGTCCTTGAATAACCTAGAGAGCAAATGTGAATAAAGCTCAAGTCAGGACAGTGTAATACATACCCAACAAACAAAGCTAAACAAAAGAAACCTTCATGTTCTCAACTTTCAATACATCAATTTAAAATATTGATTAAATACGAAAATGTTATCATCCTCCATCAAAAATGCCCAATAAAACAAGAATTGTTAAGAAAATTATGATATATCCATGGCAGAATATTATTAGTGTAGTCATTCAGCACTGTGCTTCTGAAGATTGTTTAATAATATGGAGACTTTTGGCCAGGCACGGTGGCTCATGCCGGTAATTCCAGCACTTTGGGAGGCCAAGGCGGGTGGATCACTTGAGGTCAGGACTTCGAGACCAGCCTGACCAACATAGAGAAACACTGTCTGTACTAAAAATACAAAATTAGTTGGGCGTGGTGGCGCACGCCTGTAATCCCAGCTACTGGGGAGGCTGAGGCAGGAGAATCGCTTGAACCCGGGAGGCGGAGGTTGCGGTGAGCCGAGACAGTGCCATTGCATTCCAGCCTGGGCAACAAGAATGAAACTCCGTTTCAAAAAAAAAAAGAGACTTTTATAATTAAATGGAGAGGCAGAGTATAAAATTTAATCTCAACTGTGCACTAAGTATGCAGCGAAAAGGACCCAAAAGAAGGTTTGAGGTTGTGGATATTTTTTCATTTGACTTTTCTGACTGTAAAGGTTTTGTGAGGCTGTATTCCTTTTTAAAAGCTCATAAGGGCCAGGCGTGGTGGCTCACGCCTGTAACCCCAGCACTTTGGGAGGCCACAGCAGGCGCATCACGAGGTCAGGAGAACGAGACCATCCTGGCTAACACGGTGAAACCTGTCTATACTAACAATACAAAAAATTAGCCGGGCGTGGTGGCGGGCGCCTGCACTCCCAGCTACTGGGGAGGCTGAGGCAGGAAAATGGCGTGAACCCGGGAGGCAGAGCTTGCAGTGAGCCAAGATGGCACCACTGCACTCCAGCCTGGGCGACAGTACAAGACTCTCTCAAAAAACAAAACAAAACTCAACTAAACAAAATCTCATAAAACATTACAGAGCTGTCTCCAAGTACTTTAGCATGTTGATTCTCTTAATGCCCCAGGTTAATATTCCCATGAAGTCCTTAGCAGTCAACTCATTTACAGAGCCTCAGCTGTGGTTCCGGTCTCTGCTGGTTATTGCTTGTGCTGCAGGGCAGAAAACAAACTGAACAGTGTATAATCTAGGTGGACTGATTTGGTTGGAAATTATTTTACTCCCACAAGAAGAGAAATAAAATCAAATAATATAGATTTTTTTCAACCAATACATTCTTAAAGTCTTCTATTTCCATCCTTCTGCTTAAGGCTAAAGTGATCTACTTTCAGCTGTATTTTTTATCCAGGTAATAATATTATCATTTTTTTTAAGTGAAAGCCTCACTGAACAAAATTAAAACACACAAGCAAAAGTCAAAAGGCAAGTGGTACATTTCAGCCTTCTTTCTTAGACTATTCAGAAAAATTCCAGAGTTAAAACATTCAGCTTCATTTTATATATCCTAGCAATGCTAGCAATTGGTCTAATTCTAGAATCAATTGCTTTTCTATTCTAAATATAAAGTAAATATTAAAATTATATATTTGGACATGTTGTGAATTTTAGCTTCCCCTCTCAACCCCTCATTTTTGAGTTCCAGATAAATATGTGAACTACACTAACGTGAACAGCTAGCTCAACAGAATGAACTACATTCATGCTATAGTACCCCAGAGTGAACTTAAATTTGGGAAAACTAACTTTTCTGATAGCAACTACAGTAAAATACACCATATAAATGTTCGATTTTAAGGAGAAACCACCTATCTCTGTGAGAAACCAAGTGTTTAAAAAACAAGTCTGATACAAAATGATACCATTTTTGAAACTCCCCTGTGGGTTCCTCATATCCTAAGGTGAAAGTTATAAAGTTGAAGATGAAAAGCTGACTGGCCTGAAACTCCCCTGTGGTTTCCTCATATTCTAAAGTGAAATCAACACGTTAAGTGGGTGTGTAGACATTTACACATAAAGCTCACAGTACAAAAATGACCCCACTAACAAGCTCCTTTTATAAAACCATTTTAATTTAGAAAGCTTATTCTATATTTAGCTTAGGCTGAATTCTTCTCTTCACCTCCCCTTCCTCAAAAGAATGCACAGAAAAATATCATTCAGGTTAATAAGAGCAGTGAGCCGAGACTCCAGCCTGGCTCTGCTTAGTAAACTGTAGGTGTGGATTTAGAAGGCATACTTTCTCCTAAACCCTTCTATGAACATGTACTTCCCCGTCCCCTTAAGTTCAGTAAGTTTACCACTCAAATAATTACTCTCTCAAACTACCTCTTTCAAGCTTAAAAGGGCACTAATGCGGTTATTCTAAACTGATGAATAAAGCTCACTTTCTACCGGCTTTCCATTTGACCAAGTCTGTATTACTTAAAACAAAACACCCTAACTCCTAAAAGCCATTTCTTCCTTTAAACCATTTTATCCCACTTGCGACGTCCCCGCAGACACAGACTTGGAATTGCTTACGTGTAGTCCGTGTTATTCTTTCCTACATGGATGGGTTGTTTTCAGTTTTGCTTGCAGTATTTCTGGCATTTCCCGTTACAACATCCTGCTCTGCCAGCATCTTCAGGGCAAAGGTTGGGGGCCTAGCCCAGCTCCCAGCGGCAAGTACACTAGGCTCTAACTTCGCTTGTCCTCTCTGCAGGCCCTGCCGAAGCTCCCGCTGGTTTCCCGCAGCGATCCCGCGCAGGTGAGGGTACTGGGGAGCCCGTGGCCTTCTCCGCCCGCCGGCTCCTCCCCATCAGCCGTCAGCCAGGGCTCTCGGCGCCGGGGAAGCCTCCCACCGGGTCCCAGGCCACCCAAGCGCGGTCAAACGCCGGCGGCCCGGCCTCGCTTACCTGACGCAGCCGCGCGTCCGCCTCGACCCATCAGGCGCGCAGGGCCCGCTCCCGAAACTCGCGCGGGCTCTCGCAGTCGGCCGCGCGGCCGTTAGCCGCGAAGAGAGCGTCGCGCACGGTGGCGCAGCCACAGCCGTGGGCCGCCGCGCCCAGGTAGCGCTCCAGCTGCCCGCAAAGCTCCTGCAGTGCCGCCTCGCCGGGGCCCACGCGCGCCGGCCACAGCAGCGCCCACCGCCCGAGCCCCAGACCTCAGGCCCCGCCGCCGCCCACGTCCAGCTCCGGCGGCAGCCGTGGGAAGCAGTGTTCCAGAGGCGGCCACAGCGCCGCTAGCTGCCGGCGCGCGCCGCGGAACCCCGCGGCCGAGAGCCGGCCGGCCCAGCTGGGCGGGGACACGGCGGCCTCGGGCTTGTGCTCCAGCCCCAGCCGGGCCCCTCGCGCCGCTGCGGCTGCTGCGCGGTGCGGTCGTGACAAGTCACAGCAAACTTGCCCTCCGCGCCGTTCCAAGCCACCAGGAAGCGCAACCGGTGCCCCTGGGGATCGGCGAAGAGGCCCTCCCGGAGCGGCGCCCAGCCCTCCAGGCTGTCGGGCTGCTCGTCCTCCATGGCCGTCGGCGGCAGCGGCCCTAGGGCTTGGCGGGCGCGGGCCTGACCTCGTCGCACCGCCTGTCAGGGGACAGTCCCAGGTGAAGCATTTTTCGCTCCACAATTGGTATTTTAACAATATGAATGAAAAAAAAAACCTCAGGTGTTTTGATAGAAATAACAGACGTGCCTAGGAATCATCTTCCTTGAAGGGAGAGGAGGGTCTTATTGAACTTGAAAAAACTAAATAAGCAAAATTGATACATAAGGACACCCTTCTCTTTACCCTTACCTATTCTTAACAACTTTAATTCATTTCTGACACTGTCACCAACTGAAAAACGGTCCAACTAAAAAAAAAATCATAAAGGTGAGAAAAATTGTGACGTGTTCTATCCTAATCCAATATATCTAAACCAATTTTACTGATAGAGAAAATATATTAAGTGAATGATGTAAATACATTAATATAGGTAACAACTCTTTGAAAGTAAAGTTTGCACATAACATGAAATACATAGAGAATTACTGCCGTCTCGAAGGAGAGAACCCTTGATGGGGAGTGGTAGTCAAAAAGGTGTACGAGCAAGTCATCTGTTGCAAGGTGATGGGAGGAGATATTTTTGCAGGCATTCAATATCAGTCAGAGGTTTTAATGATTTTTGTTTTTTATCTTGAGAGTTGGAGACTAGAAGATCTAAAATAGGAAAATTTTGGCATATCCATAGATAGAATGGAAGCTCTTCGCCAAAAAATAACGTGCTCCAAGTCATGAAAAATAGCACACATGCACAATTAACTACAGAGTTACACAAGATGGTGTCTTTTCATTCGATTTTATTTGAACTCTTATTCTTCTCTATCTTTTACGCTTTGTATCCTTGTTAATTAACTCTTCCATTTTTTCCTCATCCTATGAGGCACTTTAAACATTTTATTCAATAACTCTTAAGGCAATTTTTACAATTCTATTCACATATAAAATTGTCATAAGCATGTTTTGTGAGTGAAAAATTCTAATTTGTAATGCATATCAAGTGAAAAGCCTCAGTTCAGCACTCGTCATATCCAAAATCTGTGTTATATAATAATGTAAAAGACATATTTTCACACATGTAGCTCAAATGAGATTCTTACTTAACATTTCTCTCTCTTTTTTTTTTTTTTTTTGAGATGGAGTCTCGCTCTGTTGCCCAGGCTGGAGTGCAGTGGCGCAATCTCAGCTCACTGCAAGCTCTGCCTCCTGGGTTCATGCCATTCTCCTGTTTCAGCCTCCCAAGTAGCTGGGACTACAGGTGCCCGCCACCACGCCCGGCTAATTTTTTGTATTTTTAGTAGAGACGGGGTTTCACAGTGTTAGCCAGGATGGTCTCGATCTCCTGACCTCGTGATCCGCTTGTCTCTGCCTCCCAAAGTGCTGGGATTACAGGCGTGAGCCACCACGCCCGGCCTACATTTTACAAAATTTAACTCAATCTTTTATTTTAAAAAATGTGCATATACTGCCTGTTCAAGTACTTAATCTTTTTATTTATTATTTGAAATTGGAGGTCCATCTTTTTAGATTGTTAGAAGGTCTTCACGTATTTGAATGAGTTATTAAGTTGATACAACCATTTTGGAAAAATAATTATCATTATCTACTACATTTAAACACATAATATATGACCAGCAGTTTCAACAGAAACACCTGGATATTCATCAGGATAGAACGGATTGGAAAGCTCCATATTCATTCAACAGGGTGCTACACAAAACAAAAAGGAATGAATCACTGGTCCATAACATAAACAGATTTCACAAATGTAATTTTGAGTGAAATAAGCCAGAAAAAAATAAATACCGTATGCTTCCATTTATATGAAGACAAAGATAGGCAATATTAATCTATGGTAACATATGAGACTGACTTCTTTTTCTCAGCATCAGCTGAGAGCCTGAAAAATATTTTTCTGGGGTGCTAAAAAAGTGCCAGATCTTAAAAATATTTGTACAAAAGATAATAATTTTTTTATATAAATAGGTACAAAACACAAATATGTACAAAAATGTATTTATAAATATGTTAAACAAGATTACTATTTATACTTCAATATAATTTTTTTCACTTTTGTTGACATTAGTAAACCATCACACTTAATAAACAGCCATTTGGAATTGTTCTTGATTTAGGTATTTCCTTGATTAAATACCAAGTAGGAACATACCTTGATTCTAAAATATAAAGAATATTATTCCATGAAAGTTTCCATGAAAACTATCTTGCATTCTAAAATATTTTTAAAAGTACTTATTTTCAAAGTTCAGTTTCCTATTTTAAACAAAAGTTGAGCTAAATTACATATAAGCTAGTCCCCAGAATATTCAGTAAATATCAAATGAAGGTGTGAAAGTTAAAGATTTCAATTTTTTACTAGTTAATTTGCAGTGCTCTATTATTTTGCTTAATAAACAATTTTATGCTAGAAATAAGCAGATTTCCCTATTCACATTATCTTTACCAAGAGCACTTAAATAAATACCATTGATTACTTGCAAAATACAGATTGTAGATTCAGAGCTCAAAACTAACCCTCTGAGGATGTAATTCAATTAAAACAACCCATAGTTGTGAATTCACCTCACCAGTGTCCCTAAGACAAGAAGCTCTTTCTCACATCAAAGTGAATTATTTTAATTCACTTTGGATGTTAGGAATATCCTAACTCCTTTGTAATTAAAAAAAAAAAAACAAAACTTCTGATGCTTCTTTATATCTTAACAATCATGAGGTCTATAAAAATATGAACACAGAAGTTTGGGTCAGTTCAATGACTGAACTAAAACATTATTTCCCAACATGTCCATGTTGTACAAGATGATGGGGTTGTTATCTGTGATGCCATTGCAAAGATCTTGATGGTTCCAAAACACTAAGCATCACATAAGCCATGTTATAGCTGTCGCCCCAAATTTACCAAACCATTTGGATTAAAACTCTCAGTAAGGACCTCTGAGGCACAAAGATCTATGAGTAACTCCTTAACCCCTTTGCTCTTACTCTTCAGGTACAATTTCAAATTTTCACCTTTCCCTTTCTGCACTGACCTTGGGAAAGTCACTTTATCTCTGTGATCTAATTTTCCACATCAATAATGTATCTATACTTGGCATAGAGAGTTATGAGAATAAAATAATAACATATATGGGCAATTTCTGTGAATACCAATTGTACAGGTGGATTTTTAAATAATAGATTTAGGGCCGGGCGCAGTGACTCACACCTGTAATACCATCACTTTGGGAGGCCGAAGCGGGTGGATCACCTGAGGTCAGGAGTTTAAGACCAGCCTGACCAACAAGGTGAAATACCGTCTCTACTAAAAATACAAAAATTAGCCAGGTGTGGTGGCGGGCACCTGTAGTCCCAGCTACTCAGGAGGGTGAGACAGGAGAATTGCTTGAACCCACAAGGCGGAGGTTGCAGTAGGCCGAGATCACGCCACTGCACTCCAGCCTGGGCGATGAAGCGAGACACCATGTAAAAAACAAACAAACCAATAAATGAAATATATTTAGGAAAACTATTATAAGAAAAAAATTGAAAGCATTAAGAACTCTATTATGGACTGAACAAAAAAAGGAGAATTGGTACCATACCTTGGTAAGTTTATTTTAATAAGCCCAATTTCTATTAGTTCTTCAGTGTTTCCTCTTGCTCCGTGAATGTATGTTCCTTGCCTCTATCTTATCCCATTTTTTCTATTGTTAACAGAGAGTTGTCGCAAGTTCTATTCTCAATGCCTATTGCATTGGGCAATAGATGACTCTGGTTCCCAACTCAGAAAAACCTCATTTTTAAGAAACGTTTGAGCTTTGACTTTGATCTCATTCAGAATATTTTGGTTCAAAAGTTTTTTGTTTTTTTGTTTTTTTTGAGACGGAGTCTCGCTTTGTCGCCCAGGCTGGAGTGCAATGGCGCGATCTCGGCTCACTGCAAGCTCCGCCTCCCGGGTTCACGCCATTCTCCTGCATCAGCCTCCCTAGTAGCTGGGACTGCAGGCGTCTGCCACCACGCCCGGCTAATTTTTTTTTGTATTTTTAGTAGAGACAGGGTTCCACCATGTTAGCCAGGATGGTCTCAAATCTCCTGATCTTGTGATCCGCCCGTCTCGGCCTCCCACAGTGCTGGGGTTACAGGTGTGAGCCACCACGCCTGGCCCAAGAGTCTTAAGTTTGTGTAAATAAGCACCTTTGAAAACTACATCTACAAATGGGAATATGGAATAAAAAGGACAAGCCAAAGGTTATGGAACAAAATAAAACATGAAGAAAGAGAAATAGAAACACAATATTACTATATACAATATAGTAATATATTTTAAAATACAAAAAACGCTAGCAAAAAAAGCAATATGTAAACAAAAGAATTGGAGTAAAATAATAGAATTTGAAACAGCACAATCTGCTGAAAATATACAAAAGACAAATTAGGGTATTCCTGAGCTCACTGTTTATAATATTAGAACATGTATATAAAAAGGAAAAGTGACTTTAAAATGTCTGGGGGCCAAGGAATATATAGTTTGTTACATTTTATTTACAAACAGTTTCTTTGACTAGGGAATCAATTTAAATTTTCTGTTTTGGAAATAATATAAATATATCTTTATTTTAGACTTTTTGCTGTAAAGTTTCTTAAATATTTACAACTTTAGGATAATCAGTGTACATTTCAATATATAATGTCCTAAAAATCAAACAGCTACCAAACATTGAATTGAAGTTCTGACTTATATAAATCATTTGCATAAAAACTGATCATTAAAAACAGTATCTAATGAACATTTTGGCCCCAATATTAATTAAAACTGAAATGATAGCATTACAAGCTAAAGATTAATTTCAATGACATGTCATTCAACCATTTTGACATAATTGACTTATAATAATCTAAAATTGACTATTTTTATGACATATTTGACCTAAATGAAGAGAAAAAAGCTTTGACTCATTCTTAATTACTCTTTCTAACCAATTGATGGCCAATAACTGAAATTAATTTCAAACCATTTTTTGTTATTTTAATCTTTTAAACATGTTTTACTTTCAGTGATTCATTTTCTAACATTCATAGCCAAAGCCCAGGCTCTACCCATCTTTGTCTACCTTAATGACTTTGTCAATTGTTGGCATACACTGGGTCTTAAAAACTTGTGTTTCTTCCGAATTAATTAATGAAGTAGAATTGCTCTTATAGGGTTTCATATACCATTACCTCCAAAAGAGTACATCAGAAGTATTAGAAAATACTGATATTTATAAACAGATATTTATCTTATGATACAAAGAGCTAGAGCTGTTTTATTTTCTGTAAAACTAAGAATAACTTCTTGATAACGTAGCTTTACAAAAAGAAAACCCAACACATTTCCATAAATAATTCTCTGAAATAACTATGTGAGTTTGTGTCTTTTTATATACATGTAGATATACATATACTTACACATCTATACATATATATGTAACATAAAGGATATGAACATTAGGACTGTTTAATGTCTATTTGTCTTGGAAAGAAAAATATACTTAAAAATATTTCTTAATTGGGATTTGTAATCGTACCAACTTAATTGATAAACTTGGCAACTGCTTTTATGTTCTGTCTCCTTCCATAAATTTTTCAAAATACTAATTCAACAAAGAAAAAGCTCTAATTTTCATTGGAAATAATTTATATACTTGTTTAGAGCAGAGAAAAATTAAGAAAAACTTTGAAATGGTCTCAAAAAATTGCTAAATATTTTCAATGGAAAACTAAATGTTAGTTTAGCTGATTGTATGGGGTTTCTGAACCTTTCACTTTTTGTTTGTTTTACCTATTTCACAACTGTGTAAATTGCCAATAATTCCTGTCCATGAAAATGCAAATTATCCAGTGTAGATATATTTGACCATCACCCTATGGATATTGGCTAGTTTTGCCTTTATTAAGCAAATTCATTTCAGCCTGAATGTCTGCCTATATATTCTCTGCTCTTTGTATTCTCCTTTGAACCCGTTAAAACATCCTGTGGCACTCTTATTTATTAATCAGTTAAATAAAATCATGAACATATATTCATTTTACATTTGTATGAGAACCATTATTTTTCTTTTCTTTAAAAAAATTAATTATCCTTTGACATTGGGTTGACATTTTCTTAAGACATGCCATAAACAGAGGATATCAAGTTTCTCAATGTCAGTTCTAGAGGAAAAAAAATTCCTTATAAAAATTTAACCTCATGTGTAACAGTTTCCATTCCCATAGCAATGACATTTGATATACATTGTATATATTAATCTGGGAATGATGTAAGGTTCCAAGTATAATTTTATCAGTGAACTCAACTACTTGATTACTTTCACTTATTTAAATATCTAGTTCAATGTTGTCCAGTGGCATTGTGGATTTAGGTAATTTTACCAGGCAGCCGTTCAATTTCTGCACTTTCTATTTGCCCATGCAGAACATAACACATTTTATAAGTCAAGGTATAGGCATCTGGTGGCATAATTTTAATTTGTTATCAAATAAAAGCCTCATCAAATTTGTCTAGAAAATAACTCATTATTTACTTTATTTTAGGACTGTATCACTATGTAATGAGATACAAATATATGTAAATGTAAGTGCCTAAGAGGCATGCAGAGAGCCTAAGATGTATGCAGTATGCCTAACAGGAATGCAGAGAGCTTCATTTTCATTGTCAGCTGCTCAGTTGTTTCTCAGGAAAGAAATGTGGCCAACGGACACCATTTAAGAGATATATAGCAACAAGTTCAGAAAATTCTCATAAATGGGAGTGGCTAATGCATAGACAATAGCATTGACCTTTGATCCATATATATATATATATAAAATATACCTCAAATACATTTGGATCAATTTAATTGTGAGTGCTATAAACTACAAATGAAAGTAAAAAAGCAAACCTGTTGGTATTTTAGAAGAATGAAAGATTATTAACTCATGGCCTGTATGTGTTTGGAATGAGAAGGACGTACATAGCTTTCTTTGGACGGGGTGGAATTGAAATTGTGATTTACAGTGACTAAAACCTGACTGCTTTCACATTTTTTTTTCACTGTTGGGGGTGAAATTCTTGATTGATTTGTGCATTGGGAACTTTTTTTTTTTTTTTGGAGACAGAGTCTCGCTTTGTAGCCAAGGCTGGAGTGCAGTGGCGGGATCTCGGCTCACTGCAAACTCCACCTTCTGGGTTCACACCATCCTCCTGCCTCAGCCTCCCAAGTAGCTGGGACTACAAGCGGGCGCCACCACGCCTGGCAAATTTTTTGTATTTTTAGTAGAGACGGGGTTTCACCGTGTTAGCCAGGATGGCCAGGATGGTCTCAACCTCCTGACCCTGTGATCCACCTGCCTTGGCCTTCCAAAGTGCTGGGATTACAGGTGTGCGCCTGCCTGAGCCACTGTGCCTGGATAGAGAATGACTCCTTATGTGACATGCAGAAAATATTTTGTGTCATTCGTGGTACATTTATCATATTTTCTATAGGTTTGTACTATGTTGCTCCACTTCTTAGAATTCCAAGTAGTTCAAAGCCAGCAGGGACTGGTATATTATAGCATATTTAACCTAAGCAACTCTAAAAGCTAACGAAACCAAGTATCTACAAACTTTAGCCATAGCTACCATCAACATGAAGAATGTAATAGGCAAAATGTTTTACATGCTGAATATGCACTACTGAATTCTGTATATATTTTTTGCAGTTTCAATTTAAAAGTATACTAGTTAGATATTTCATCTATACCCTGGTATAGTAATAAAAATTCAGATACTGCTCAACGAGGAAGCACATTTTCAAAGCAACAGACCTGAAAACTAGTATTTTATTTGATATTTTAAATGCTTATTTCATTTTCTGGTTAAAGATGTTTGTGAAGGTAAAATTTAAAATAGATACTTTATGTTATTCTAGTATATAACATTGAAATTAAATTTTTAGTAAATGTAGAAAAGGAAAGTCTGAAGCATTGACTGAGAAAGATTTAGTAAATGGAGAATTTTGACTATTAAACATCCCATTTTAACAAAAATATGCATAAAATATTCTTAGGATGATTTAATTAACCTTTTAATAAATACGAAAGACATTATGAAAAAATTAAAGAATACATCACATTGCAGAATCAAAAGTAATAAAAATCACTCAAATTCTACTGCTCAGAAATGAAAATAATTGCTGAACATTAGGTGGCAGTATTTCAGACATTCCTATATAAATATACTTGAATGAGGCCCAGAGCAGTGGCTCACGCCTGTAATCCCAGCACTTTTGGAGGCCGAGGCGGGCGGATCAGGAGGTCAGGAGATCGAGATCATCCTGGCTAACACAGTGAAACCCCGTCTCTACTAAAAATACAAAAAAATTAGCCGGGCTTGGTGGCAGGCGCCTGTAGTCCCAGCTACTCGGGAGGCTGAGGCAGGATAATGGCATGAACCCCGGAGGCGGAGCCTGCAGTGAGTGGAGATCCCGCCACTGCACTCCATCCTGGGCGAAAGAGCAAGACTCCGTCTCAAAATAAAAATATAAATAAATAAATACACACATGCATTCTTCATTTATAAAATACATTTAATATTTTTAAATAAATAAAAGTCAAAATAAAACTGATAAAATGACTGTAGTTATTTGTATGAATATATGCATGTGTGTACAGATGCATTAAGAAATCTTAATCTTCAAAATGATGAACATTTTAGAAGAAATACTAAGAATAATGAGTTTGGGATCTGTATCATGCTCTCTTTTTCTGTTTTTTTGAGACGGAGTCTCGCTCTGTCGCCCAGGCTGGAGTGCAGTGGCACGATGTCAGCTCACTGCAAGCTCCGCCTGCCGGGTTCACGCCATTCTCCTGCCTCAGCCTCCCGGGTAGGTGGGAGGGACTACAGGCGCCCGCCACCACGCCCGGCTAATTTTTCGTATTTTTAGTAGAGACGGGGTTTCACCGTGTTAGCCAGGATGGTCTCAATGTCCTGACCTTGTGATCTGCCCGCCTCGGCTTCCCAGAGTGCTGGGATTACAGGCTGAGCCACCGCGCCCTGCCCTGGGATCTGTATCTTTCTAAGTAGGTGATTCAGTATCTAATGAGAAAATTATCACTTAAAAATTCAAAATGTTTTAGTTTGTTGTTATTATTATTATTATTTGTATTATTTTTAAAGATGGGGTCTTCTTATGGTGCCCAGGCTAATCTTGTTAATATTTTTATATTGTCATGGTGTCTTAGGCAGCTCAAGCTGCCGTAACAGAATACCAGAGACTGGTGTCTTAAGCAGACATTTATTTCTCACAGTTTTGGAGGCTGGGAAATCCTCCACAAGGTGCCGGCAGATTCAGTCCCTGGTGAAAGCCCCCTTCCTAGACTACAGGCTCCTGCCTTCTGACAATGTCTTCACATGGCACAAAATAGAGAAAGACAGAGAGCTGTGGTCTCAGTTTCTCTTCCTATAAGAACACTAATCCCATCATGGAGATGCACATGATCTTAACCAGATAAATTTTTTTTGGATATTTTGAACTGATCAAATAACTCACATTGATTCAAAATATCACAGTTATTAAAACTCAGGCACAAAATCAAGTTAGTTCATCAGTAATTGAGGCAGATAATTTTAAATCAAAATATAGCTACACAAAACACCATTTCCTAATTATCTTAGACTTTAAAAGTAGTTAGAGGAAGAGAAAGCTCATCTCTGTATTACAGTATAACGGGTTTCCCATCCTAGGTGTCTTAATCTATTTGAACAGCTATAACAAAATACCATAAATTGGTAGATTATAGGTAATAGAAATTTGTTGTTCACAGTTCTGGAGGGCGGGAAGTCCTAGATCAAAGTGCCGTAAGATTTGGTGAGGACCTGCTTCTTGATTCATGAATTGCCATCTCTTCCCTGCATCCTCACTTGGTGAAAGGGGCAGGAGTCTCTCGGGACTCTTTTATAAGTGCACTAATCCCATTCATGAGGGCTCTACCGTCATGATCTAATCCCCTCCCTCTAAGGCCCCACCTGCAAATATCATCATATGGGTGTTACTTTTCAACAGCTGAATTGTGGGGGGCACCATCATTCAGCGTACAGCACTGTGAAATCCCTAATATCGGGTTTTCTTTTTATTTTATTTTATTTTTGAGATGGAGTCTCGCTCTCTCACCCAGGCTGGAGTGCAGTTGTGTGATCTCGGCTCACTGCAAGCTCCGCCTCCCGGGTTCACGCCATTCTCCTGCCTCAGCCTCTGGAGTAGCTGGGACTACAGGCGCCCGCTACCACGCCCGGCTAATATTTTTTGTATTTTTAGTAGAGATCACCGCACCTGGCCCCTAGATGAATATTTGAATAAAAGTTGTATGTATGATGATAAAACAACAAGAAACTGAATTTTTGCAGAAAGTAAAAATAAAACTTGTCACTCTTTATATAGGCAAATCAGAGACTATACTTGAGGTTTTAGAAAAGACATCAGTATGTTCCATATAAAGCATGTACTGGGACCCCGTCAGTCTTTTTCACCATATAATATCAGTGTTTTTAATAGTACCTGGGATGGCTGGGCGTGGTGGCTTACGCCGTAATCCCAGCACTTTGGAAGGCCGAGGAGGGAGGATCACGAGGTCAGGAGATCGAAACCATCCTGCCTAATACGGTGAAACTCCGTCTCTACTAAAAATAACAAAAAAATTAGCCGGGCGTGGTGGCGGGCGCCTGTAGTCCCAGCTACTCCGGAGGCTGAGGCCGGAGAAAGGCGTGAACCCGGGAGGCGGAGCTTGCAGTGAGCGGACATCGTGCCACTGCACTCCAGCCAGGGCGACAGAGCAAGACTCCATCTCAAAAAAAAAAAAAAAAAAAAAAAAAAAAAGTACCTGGGACATGATATGAACTCAATGACTATTTATTGAATGAATTACTTGAACAAGTTTATGCAAGAAATTGACATAAAATTAAACATTGTCTCCTTATACCATATAGTGTCTACAAAAACTAAGTTGATACAGAACCTGTATTCTAACATGATTAAATTTGAGCCAAGTACATTTCTCTCTTAAGAATTTATAAGTTTATAAAGAAATCAGGGCCTGGGAACTGAATCATTAATGAAAGATCTCAAAGGCAATATTCTTTTCATTGTAATTAATATTAAGTCGTTAAAGTAATAATAAATAACTAACATTTAGGTTCCTGAAAAAAATGGTTAAATTGAACATCAAATAGTTTGCATTTATATCACACTGTACAATTTATATTTTTTATGCTGCTTTACTGTAAGATTTCATTGAACAAATGCATCTTATGATTTCAAGGTAAGGTATTCAAATATGCCTTTTTAAAATGTAATGCTGTATTAGTGATTTTAAAATATGTAAAAAAAATGTGTGGGAAATACTAGAAATGTTATTTGAAATTAACCAATTCTGGGTTTGCTTATTTTTTTTTTTTATTTTATTTGCCAAACTGAGAACAACAGCCTTTACACATTTTCTATTTTTCTGGACTTGATTCTTAGGAACTTTAATTTTGCACTTTTGCATTCCTCTATAAATGTTAATGTCTTAGCCAATGACATTTTTCTAGATAAATTCAAAAGCTTAACCTAAGTAATGTAATGGTGGCATTTATGAAATTGACTCCTGGTTCTCTCTTTAAATTCTTTTTATTGTTTATTTCTATGGCACCATTACACTATGCTATCACATTGTTCTTGTTTTATTCCCCATGTTTAAAAAGCTGTATATTCTTTGCTGAATCTTAAAGGTCACTTTGAAACCTCAAGACCATGACTGAAATACAGTGAAGATTAAAGATAAAAAGGAGAAAAAAGGTTAAATTATAAAACCTCTAATATCATTACTCATATATATGATATACACAGAGATGCATCACCTAGGTCCTCCCTGAGAGCTGTGTCAGTAGACAGGACTCAGCTGTGAGCCCCTTCAGACGTCACCTCAGCTGCAGAGCTTCCCCCTGCCTAAGGTCCTGAGGTTCCCAGTTGTGGTGCATATGCAATGACTGATTGAGGTGAGGCAAGGAGGCAGGTGAAAGAGGTGGGGAGGGGACTTGGGGCCTATAAAGACTCAGTCATGTCATTGCAATGTGAAAGGATGCCAGTGGGCCATTTTATCTTCAAAGTCCCCTGTGAGATGAGCCAAAGCTGTGGTCCAGGACTTCTTTTCAGCCCAGCTTTTTCCCTTTCCCTCAATCCAGCTTCCTTCTTCTCCTTTTCACAGTGCCTTGGATTCAAGGGCACTCCCTAGTATATATCTCCATGTCCAAGTCTGCTTACTAGAGAACATTGTATCATGAATGATACCATTCTTCAAAAATATGGGGTACTTTGAGTGAAAGGAGTGGAACGGTATAGAAGAACAGCTTTGGTAGAGTAGTTAGAATAGAAGCTACTCTACATTGGGTTGATGCATGAATGGGATATTAGGAAGTAAAGTAGCAAATTGAAAACTCCTTTCGAAAGAAGAGAGTTAGAAAAGGGTCAGCAAGATAGTAATTGGGGCCTGGCTGTGATGGATCACGCCTGTAATCCCAGCACTTTGGGAGGCTAAGATGGGAGGATCACTTGAGGTCAGGATTTCAAGACCAGCCTGGTCAATGTAGCGAGACCCCATCTCTTTAAAAAAATGTAGTTGGAAGCTAGAGAATAGCATAACAAAAAAGAGGGTGATTTTAGAAGACAAAAGGGCCCACTGGAGCTCTCTCACATTGGAGTGAAATTCTGAAATTACCCTCTTTTTGGTTATGTCATTCTACCTCAATCATTTTGCCTCAATCATGTTTACAGGCAAAATAAGAGATAGAGAAGTGGAAAGGGCTGAAGGCAGAGATACGAGACACAATAACAAATGGGGAAAGATACAAGATACAATGAAAGGCATGAGCTAGATCAATTCTACAAGTGAAAAATTATGCAAGTGAAAAAATTACAAGGTGAGAGGAAGGATGACTCATCACCCAATTATAGGTAAGTTTATAGGAGGGTGGGACTGGCTACATAAAGGTAGATGATACTTTATGTCCTTATTTTCATTAAAGAGAATATGTCATTTCCTGAAAATGAAAGATGTGGGTGTGAATAGAGAGTTGGCAAAATTTGGTATTTATTTGAAATCGGCATTTATTTGGGAAGATAATGTAGGGTAACTAATCCACTTAGATGATAAATACTTATTAACTATAAACTGTGTACCAGGTACTTTGCTATAATATAAAGGCAATGGAAAAACCAAGATTCAGTCTTGATTTGACATCCTTAACATTTACAGTGTCGTGGTGGAAACTATGTAAAGAATCCAGTGTGATAGAAGGTGGTAGATGTGGAAACAGGAGGTTTAGAAAAAGCTCCAGGACACATTGCTGACACATCTAACTCAGGATCAGGGCATTTAAGAAAGCATCACACTCTCCCTCAATCTCTCTATTCTGTCTTTCCATGGAATCCTTTTAACAAAGTATCAAGATGGCCCTCAGCACTAAGGAAGAAGTGTTATTTGAAAGCATGTTTTTGAATAGTTGCATTTATCTAAACAGAATTTTTCACTCCTGTGTGGATTTTGCTTGGAATTGGTATATTCTGGCATTCCATGTTGTAAAGCACTTGAGGTGCTTAAGAGATATTTGGTTGGCCGGGTGCAGTGGCCGAGGTGGTTGGATCACCTGAGGTCAGGAGTTCGAGACCAGCCTGGCCAACATGGTGAAACTCTGTCTCTACTTAAAATACAAAACTTAGCTGGGCATGTTGGCAGGTGCCTGTAATCCCAGCTACTTGGGAGGCTGAGGCGGGATAATTGTTTGAACCTGGGAGGCAGAGGTTGCAGTGAGCCAAGATTGCACCACTGCACTCCAGCCTAGGGAACAGAGCAAGACTCCGTCTCAAAAGAAAAAAAAAAAGAAGGAGAGATATTTGGTAAATAACTGAGGCAAAGGTGGAAGAAAATAGTGTTCTACAGGAGGTGAAATAATGTGTGAAGAGAAAATAAAAATTTTAAAGAACTAAAAGAATCAGGTATTGAAGTCAAAGGTGAGAGGGCCACTGAAATTCAAAAATACAATGTGAATAACTACAGAAGATGTCATCATTCCTGATGAGGCAATGAATGTGGGTGCCTAAATTAGAGTAGAAATACATGTTATTGAAGATAAGGAGATCAAAAGGTGTAAGGCCAGGGTGTTGAATGTATTTTGCACAAATGCGCTAACGTTACCCAGAATGTTGGCAGGGGGAAAAACATCTGATGGCCTGTAGCCAGAGTTTTCCTTAAAAACGCAGACGTGTCCTCCTGGAAAACAGACATCTTTGAAAAAATGAAGGAAATTAGGGTCTCACAGCATGACTCTCATGGAGATGGTGAAGGACTGATTTGAGAGCAGCCACGCAGAGTTAGGACAATGCCAGCAACATCTGACCCATGTACATGAAGCTCCAGATAACTTAGGTGATTGCTTTAATGCAAAAGGCCACACAGTGTGAATTCGTGAGAGACTATCTTTTATATTCCAGAGGTTGGAATGGAATAATTCACTCATTTGAAAGGCTTGCTGGATATCCTCTATTTCAGGGCTCTCCAAACCCATACTAGTCCATGGCTGTTAGGAACTGGGCTCCACAGCAGGAGGTGAGTGGCGGCTGAGTGAGCGAAGCTTCATCTGTATTTACAGCTGCTCCTCATGGCTCATGTTACCCCCTGAGCTCCTCCTCCTGTCAGATCAGCAGCAGCGTTAGATTCTCACAGGAGCATGAACCCTATTGTGAACTAAGCATGCAAGGGATCTAGGTTGTGTGCTCCTTATGAGAATCTAATGACTGATGATCTGTCACTGTCTCCCATTGCCCCCAGCTGGGAACATCTAGTTGCAGGAAAACAAGCTCAGGGCTCCCAGGGATTCTACATTATGGTCAGTCGTATAACTATTTCATTATATGTTACAAAGTAATACTAATAGAAATAAAGTGCACAATAAATGTAATGGGCTTGAATCATTCTGAAACCATCCCCACCACCACCAGCTCTGTGAAAAAAATTGTCTTCCACAAAACCAGTCCTTGATGCCAAAAAGGTTGGGGACCACTGCTCTATTTCTCTTCACTGCTTAGAGAATCTGTTCTTCCACTCATGATCTACAAGGATTAAATGTTTCAAACAGTTCAAGTCTTCAAAATATGTTTTTTGTAAACTTGAGTTTTTAGAAATCATTCACAGTATCCATATTATATTTTATTTGCTGCAATGCCCTATACATTTCCCATATAATGCTCTTGAATATACTTTTACAACTTCAGTAACTTTACCCTTTACTGAATCTCAATCTGTCTCTCAATTTCTCTCTCTCAGCAAATCTAAACAAAAGAGAAACATATTGACTTGTGCTATGGTCTAAATGTTTGTGTCTCTAAAATTCATGTGTTGAAACTTAATCTCCAATGCAATAGTATTAAGAGATGAAGGCTTTGGAATGTGACTGGCAGAGCCCTCATGAATGGGATTGGTGCCTTCATAAAAGAGGCCTCCAAAATCTCCCTAGCCCCTTCCACCAAGTAAGGACGCACAGAAGTCACCATCTATGAAGTAGAGAGCAAGCTCTCGCCAGATACCAAATCTGCTGACACTTCAGTCTTAAACTCCCACCCTCCAGAACTGTGAGCAATAAATTTCTGTTTTATAGTTGTCTAAATTATCCTGTCTAAGGTGTTTTTTTATAGTAATGTGAATGGACTAAGACAACTTGAAAATGCAAGGTACCACACCAATAACAAGGAAAATACTCATGTTTTGTAACATTTATTTTATACCAAAGATATGCCAATTACTGTATACAAATATATGCCAAATGTTGGGTAAAATACTTTACATAAATTATATTAATCCTGAAAACAACCTGAAGGTAGATACTGTTGTCTGCATTTAAAGATGAGGACGTGGGGCTTGAATTAAGTAACTTACCTCACATCTCATCATGCTAAATGGCAAAGCTGGGATTCAAACCCTGCTCAGTCGGACTCCCATCAGGCTGCTCTTAGCCTGGTTATATTTTGAAGAAAAGAAGTTCAGAAACTTATCCATAGACATGGCCAGGTAGGGCCAGAGTCCAGACTCAACTGACTCTCAGCCAAGACCAGCCTCAACTCTTCCATTTTACCTCCAGCCTGAACAGCTTAAACATTTTTTCTCTTGCCATCTTATTAGAATACATAATGCCTATAATGATGGGATCCAAATGATATAGCATGACAACACTCTGGTTTAAAAAAGGTGAAATGTAATTTTTTTTTTTAATTTTAAGTTCTGGGATACATGTGCAGGACGTGCAGGTTTGTTACATAGGTAAACGTGTGTCATGGTGGTTTGCTACCCCTATCAACCTATCACCTAGGTTTTAAGGCCCCCATGCACTAGCTATTTATCCTGATGCTCTCCTTCCCCCCAGCCCCCCAGTAGGTCCCAGTGTGTTTTGTTCCCCTCCCTGTGTGCTTGTGTTCTCATTATTCAGCTTCCACTTAGAAGTGAGAACATGCGGTGTTTGGTTTTCTGTTCCTGTGTTAGTTTGCTAAGGACAATGGCTTCCAGCTCCATCTATGTCCCTGCAAAGGATATGATCTTGCTCCTTTCTATGACTGCATAGTATTCCATGGTGTATAGGTACCACATTTTCTTTTTCTAGTCTATCATTGATGGGCATTTGGGTTGATTCCATGTCTGTGCTATTGTGAATAGTGAAGCAAAAAACAGATGCAATAGGAATGCTTTTACACTGTTGGTGGGAATGTAAATTAGTTCAACCATTGTGGAAGACAGTGTGGCAATTCCTAAAAGACCTAGAACCAGAATTGCCATTTCACCCAGCAATCTCATTTCTGGGTATATACTCATAGGAATATAAATCATTCTATTATAATGAAACATAATGTAAAAATACCTCGAGTGTATTTGTATTTTGGTAATATCTGAATAAGACATAAAATATAATGCACACATCTTTATATCGTTTTATCCATATCTCTCTTTCTTTAAATCCTTCTGGTTAAAATTTGTCATTGCCTCCTGACTATGTATATATTTTTTCTTTTCTGGAAGAAAGCTCACCTAGGCCTTACTCAAATGCATGTTCTCAATCTTTACCTACCACCCCTCCTGCCTTTTTGTTCCAGTTTCCTCTTATCATTGTACTGATGTGGAGATACGAAAGAGAATATCACTGTCAGCCACCAGCAGTGCCTTTTCAGAGAAGAGCAATGGGGAAGAAATTGAGCAGACAAAGCCAGAATCCCCATTAGCAAACAGAAAGAGGGAGCTCAGGATAACCACATACATTAATAATTCTTGCCCCGCAAAGGGAAGCTCTGTAAAATAAGTTGTATTACATCTGTACATAGCAGTACTTTAAATATAACTCTAGCTTAAGTATTTTAAGCATCTCCGTGATATGAACCTAAGGGAATAAACTCAATAAATCAATATTTATAAGCTCTGTTCACTTATGTCTTGTGGTTTCAGCCACTGATTTCAGAATATGCATGAAAAATATATTTCTTCTGAATATTTGATTTCATGATCCCAAGTAGACACATCTCTGTATTGGGTTTCAACAAGTCCACAAAAGTTAAATACCTACTTTTAGCCAGCTTTGATTTTCAGAAGTTTAATTCTGACATTTAGTGATATACAATATGTAAAACAACCTGGCACTATATCTGTTATATCATAAGTACTTGGCAAATATTTCAGTTTACTCTTTCTCATAATTGAATAATGGCTCAATAGTAAAACTCTGTAGGGAAAAATTTAACCTCTTATTTATCAATTACAAATAGTTTAAGACAGATAATACCCCTTTCCTTGTTAGCTTTAATGCTGAATCATTAAAATTGTGAGCAATGTATTTATTTTGAGGAAACTATTTTTTACTAAGGATTTTGTTTTTTTTTTAGAATTTTATGAGTCTTCAAAATAACTAGAAAATCTTAAAGTGTTACCAAACAGAAGTGGACATTTAATAAACACCTCAACTTTAATACTTACAGAAAATCATTTGAAGGCTGTCACTCCTCTGGGTATTATAAATTTTAGCCTTGGTCAAATCAAATCACCAGGAGGCTACAAACTTGAACTACACTGCCTTAGTCTCCAACAGTTTCTTTCCTTGAATTAAGTTTTCGGGCCATGCTCTACTCCTTTTAATAAAAGAACAATACAACAAATAGTCATATGAAATCCATTTTGTTGCCTAATACAAAAATATTGTTGAAGAGTATCATAATTCAATGGCCCATATATATAAAATGTCTCAGCAAATGCACTTATGTCATAATTCAGTACTAGGAAATGATTTCCTTCAGGCAAGCTCCCCCTTAATTTTTTTTTTTTTTTTTTGAGACGGAGTCTTGCTCTATTGCCCAGGCTGGAGTGCAGTGGCACCATCCTGGCTCACTGCAAGCTCCACCACCTGGGTTCACGCCATTGTCCTGCCTCAGTCTCCTGAGTAGCTGGGACTACAGGCGCCCGCCACCACGCCCGGCTAATTTTTTGTATTTTTAGTAGAGACAGGGTTTCACCGTGTAAGCCAGGATGGTCTCGATCTCCTGACCTCGTGATCCGCCCGCCTTGGCCTCCCAGAGTGCTGGGATTACAGGCGTGAGCCACCGTGCCCGGCCCCTCCCCATTAATTAAGGTGAGAAATGCATAAATGATGATGGTAGTCATTGGTGCACCAGTTACGAAAGAGTGAGGCCGGGTAACTGGATGACACCTGCACAGGGCTCTGAGGTCTCAAGGAAAATGACAGGTGTTTGTGTATTCCAAAAATGTGGACATGATGGCATGAGGCCCAATGAAGAAGGGGTAGATTATGAATGGTGTTATCCTGAACATAAGGAGACTAAGATAGTGTAGTTTTAAAAATGGCAGCATGAAAAAAGGTGAATGCTAACCCCACCCCACCTTATGGTAAGTGTCTGAAGAATAATCTTTCTAGGGACTACTAGTGGGTATTCTTAAAGGACAGAGGCAGCTTTCTGTTTGAGTAGGAAGGTATTGGAAGCAGTATATGAAGGAATAAAAATATAAAAGAGAGAAATATTGGAGCAAGAGTGGGAAGTATGGTTAAAGATAAAGAAACGGCAGGGCACTTTAGGGAAATATGGTATGAGACGGAAAAGACGCATTTTTGAGTGATGAAAATACTAATCATGGCTAACACTTACATAGCATTTATCTTATGTCAAGCATTTACGTGTGTTAACTGTTATGATGCTCACATTAACCCCAGGAGGTCAGGCCTATCACTTTACAGGAAGTTTAAGCAACTTCTGAAATATTAACAATTCTTCTGAATTGCTTCTCTGGTGACAGGAATAAGAGTCGCAGTAGCATCAACTTGCTAAAAAGTTTAAAATGGTGCTCAGAATAAAGGTATTTTACTGCTTTTTGAGACTCATTGTAAAATGGCTTGAAATGTCTTTGCCCTGAATCTCTGCCAGTGGGAAATTGGATGAGTTGCTAAAGAATATGGAATTAATTATCCAAAAACACTTTAGATATTTCTCTTTGTATAGGGTATTGTAAATGGTCTTTAGCTAATTATAATTTAATATCTCATTTGTCTCTCTCATACATAGGTATATATGATATATACACGTGTATGTGTACAATTCAATACATCTATGTGTCTATGTAGCTACCTATGTATGCATGAATGTATGTATGTATCTGCCTATCTATTAATCTATCTCTATGTATCTACCTACCTATCTATATCTGTGTCTATCAACTTCAGGAATGCTTGGCATTCTTCTAACCTCTGCGGGGTATTTAGGGATTAGGCGATGATGATAGATTTCCAGCTTCATTTCTTTTTAAAATCTTTTATTCTTCTTGCTCATTTTCCTTTTCCTGTCCCTAAAGGACAGTTTCTCCTCAATTTAGGACTTCTTCCTTTTGCTCTCTTATCATTTGCACACTTTCTGTTCTCAGCCAGAACATCCCTTTTGTGCACTGTACAACCTGTTGACACTGTCACAGTTGCCACTTGATCATTGCAGATAAAGGAGGAAGTAGCAATTCTGGAATGGGTGGCTTATCTCTTGGCTTTATAACTGGATATCTTCATCTGCCATTCAGTCACTCTTTTTTATTATGGAGACATGTTTTCTGGGAAAATGCTACCATGAAGCAGGACCAATCTCCAGTTCAAGGCACCTCTTGATTTGCTCATTCCAAAGCATCCCCTCTTAGGAATTAGGGCTCAGATCATGGGGTCATCTATTCTGTAAGTAAAAGGCTGACAAAAAGTCTGTTACTTCACTGCTCTTTACATTATTAGGGTAATATTAACAATGGAAATCCAGTTTGTTCAATAAAACAAGTGTCGATGAAGAGTCAAACTCGGTAAAATATTTTAAGAGACTTATTCTGAGCCAAATATGAGTGACCATGGCACATGACACAGCCCTAAGGAGATCCTGAGAACACGTGCCCAAGGTGGTCAGGGTGCAGGTTAGTTTTATACATTTTAGGGAGACATGAGACATCAATCAAATACATTTAAGAAACACATTGGTTTGGTTCAGAAAGGCGGAACAATTTAAAGCAGGGATTGGGGGGGGCTTTCAGGCTATAGGTAAATTTAAACATTTTCCAATTGACAATTGGTTTAGTATTTTCCAATTGACAATTGGTTTAGTTTGTCTAAAAACCTGGGATCAAAGGAAAGGATATGTTCAGGTTAAGCTAAAAGATTGTGGATACCAAGGTTCTTCTGAAGTCTTATAGTGGCTGCCCTTAGAGATAATAGATGACAAATATTTCCTATTCAGACCTTTAAAAGGTGCTTGACTTTTACTAATTTCTTCAGGATTGGGAGGGCTTGGAAGGAAAAGATCTAGTTATGTCAATAGAGATTCTTTACAGATGCATATGTCCCCCAACAAAGGGCAGTTTTGCAGGACCATTTCAAAATATGGCAAAGAAACTTGCTTTTGGGATAAAATTTTTTTTACTTTCTTCTTTGTCACATAATGTTATGCCAGAGTCAGATTGCAAAGTAAGCCATGATATATAGGGTTAAATAAAATCCATCTGATGAGAATTTATGGTTAGTAGGGGATGACTCCCCAGACCCCTTAGATAGGAATTTGGGCAAAATAAAAAAATCAGAGCTTAGTCTTCACAAGTTATTGAAAAACAATGAGTTACCAATTTTATTTATTTATATTCTTTCAGTGGTCTTCAACAGGTGGCTCATGAATTCACATATTTGACAATTTTAATGTGAAATAAATTTAAGATATTTCAACAACAATCATATAGGAAAAGATAGATAAATAAGAAACTATAAAAATTATACTTTCAAACCTTTCCCTATCTAAGACACAGGGTTTATCTGATCTCACATAGATATTGGACATACGATTTAATTTTTAAAATTAATTTTTCTCACTTTAGAAAATTGGCATCTTGAGGCCGGGCGCAGTGGCTCACACCTGTAATCCCAGCACTATGGGAGGCCAAGGCAGGCGGATCACGAGATCAGGAGATCAAGACCATCCTGGCTAACGCGGTGAAACCCTATCTCTACTAAAAATACAAAAAATTAGCCAGGCGTGGTGGTGGGCGCCTGTAGTCCCAGCTACTAGGGAGGCTGAGGCAGGAGAATGGCGTGAACCCAGGAGGCGGAGCTTGCAGTGAGCGGAGATCGTGCTACTGCACTCCAGCCTGGGCAACAGAGCGAGATTCTGTCTCAAAAAAAAAAAAAAGAAGAAAAGAAAATTGGCATCTTGAAACAAAAGAAAGTGTCTGCTTTCCCCTTAAAGAATCATAAAGAAATATAATCAATTAGACTCAGATAGCCTAGAATTTAAAGCTTAATCAATTTTATTGATTGGCTTCAAGAATTTTATTGAAATGTCATATATTTATAAATTAAGACTAAGATGATACATATACTATCTACTGATTTTAAAATACAACAAATCATTTAACTAAATAAAATTAAAGATTGTAGTCTTTTAAACTTACCAACCAGAAATAATAAGCCAGTGAAATAAAAGATGTTCCAATAGAGAAATCCTTTGTCATTATATGACATACATTTTAATATGTTACACAGATAATCTGTGTATTTAAAATTGAATGATAAAAATTATTTGCAACATTTAACTGAAAAATTTTTATTCAGAATTTATCTTGAGACTTGACATGTATTAATATAATTAATGTACCTTATAAGTAAATATTGATTATATTAAATTTTTAGAATTGGGTCGAATGTGTATCTCCTCTCCTCTGATAACTTAGTTCATTCTATGAAATGGTGCTAGAGACTAAGAAATACAGAGGTTCTGTTATCAAGTGTCATGAACATCAAGTGCCTTTTTCTCCACTAATGTTAGAATGCCTCTCCAATTATCCTCTTTAGTAAACTGTGAGCTGAAAATAGTGAAGTCTGATATTGCAAGCAATGTCTCCAGTATAAAGTTTGCTTGAGATGAGAATCTTATCTAAGAACATTTTTCTTGTCACATAAAGTATGTCACACGGTGGCATATTCCCACTTAAAGTTAACGTGTACTAATATAAAGGCCTCAGCGGAATGTATTAAGTGGATTTCTTTTGGCATTGGGTAAAGGAATCTTTCAAGGATTCTGTGGATATACAAACAAGAAACAAATTTCAAAAGAGGCATATGCACAAAATTTTTATAACCTGTTAGAATCATGATCTGGACTAAACACAAATAAGTGAACCGAAGTACAACACAATACAAAGCAAAAATAAAAAATAAACAGGAAATTTAATTCTATACGATGCAGAAACTATGTGCCAATACTCAGTGTAAACATACACTATTAGGAGGACGTTGCTGCCACACAAGCAGATGGCAGAGTTTAAGCAAAGCTGAAGAAGTTAGGTAGTGGCGTGCGGAGGGATCACTTTGATTATTGGCGTAGTTCCTACCCTCCTATTATTCTGGTTACCATACATTAGTGAGGTGTCTCCAATGGGTTTCGAGGGTTACAAATACCTTCCTGCATATTAGTCTACCTTCCTTAGAACTTCTTAAGATGGGCCATTGTCTCGTGATACTCAATAATTCAGGAAAATCAATAATTGGGATTAAAATAAACCAATTAATTACATACTTCTTTATCACAGTGTGACATAAACATACATTTTCAGACAAGTTTTCATTACTGGGCAACTATGATATCTACCCAATGTTGTGGCCAAAGTTGGAATATTCACAGTTCCCCCATACTTATGCCCTCCGTGTTTTGGTTTTCCAGATACATGCTGTTGCTTGTACTTCAAATACACTTTCCCTATATCTCTGTCAATTCACGTCTTTCTCAAAAAGAACAGAGAAGTCAAATGGCTCCTCTACTAAACCTCTAAACATATATGATTTCTCCTGTCTTGACATTTTTACCAATTCCTGTTCTCATTATAAGCTATGGTATCCGACTTTCACTTCTCTTCCTCTAACACCCCTGGCTTTCTTACCCCATTGTCTACATAGCTCAACTTCTTGCAAGTTGTCCATTCTTGCTCTCTCCTCTGTCTACAGCGATTTGCCTTCTGCTCCCACTGTTCACAAAACTTCTGTCCTCCATGTATTCATTTACAATGTTTTAGCCTTGGGCTGACCATACACCAGCTGTTCACAAAATTTATGTTGAACTGAATGACACTCGAATCAATAAATACAGGAAAAAAGGGGAACAGAAGGGGAAGCAAACAACATCCTTCTTCACATGATGGCAGAAGGAGAAATACAGAGCAAAGAGAGAAAAGACCCATATAAAACCATCAGATCTCACGAGAACTCACTATCACGAGAGCAGCAGCATGGGGGTAACAGCCCCCATGATTCAGTTACCTCCCACTGGGTCCCTCCCACGACACATGGGGATTACGGTAACTACAATTCAAGATGTGATTAGGGTGGGGACACAGCCAAACTAGATCAGTGCTGCAACTGACTTCACTGTAAATGAGTTTACAATGGGTAACTCCATATTATCTGAACCAAACAGCATAGAGAGACCTCAAGAAGAGTAAAGAAATCTTTGTCTCACGTACATGGTATACCATCAATAATGAAACTGAGGAAGATTCACGGAGGGAAGTCACCACCCTGCAGCAGGCAATTATATCTAAACCAGTGAGATATGAACAGTGCAAAGAAGAACTAGAACAAAGATACTGTCTGGCATAGAAAGTCCAGTATTAAAGACACAGAAGGCCCTACATTTGTCCAGTAAAGCCATG
This sequence comes from Homo sapiens, assembly GCF_000001405.40. Lineage (NCBI taxonomy): Eukaryota > Metazoa > Chordata > Mammalia > Primates > Hominidae > Homo > Homo sapiens. Next base: position 22,640,054 of record NC_000015.10, on the reverse strand, counting down.
CTTGATTAATGCCTTGGAAACCCTGGAGACTGGATCAGAAATCTGTATATAAAATGGTTCTTCCTGGATAAAGTTGAGAGAAAAAGAAAGCTTATTGTGTTCAAGTAGAAACTGGGATAAGCTGTGGGCCATCTGGCTTTTCTGTTGCAAAAACCAGGGCTTAAATCTACATCTTTCTATAGTCATGAATGAGCAAACTGATGTTGAACAATCATCTAACAACGAAATATTTAGGATTCAAAAAGAATGTACTTATGAAAAGAATGTAACACAAGAAATCTGAAAATTAGAAAATTTCCCCTTTTTACACTAAAAAAGACAGAAGAGCCATGACTTTTTAAAAAACTGGAGCAGTAAGCTTGTAGTGGGAAAAGTGATGGTGAGAAATGCAGGCATAGAAAGGAAGCAGGTTTAAGTAAGAAGAGAAAACACAAGGAAATCCAAAATCCCAAATAAAATAATTTTGCCTTAAATTTTATTATGTTTAATAGTAGACTGCTGTTTTCTTTTGTCAATTGCTGTCAGATAAGTTTTGCTCTTTTGATTTATTTTAAAAGTAACATTAACTCTTGGTTGGGCATAGTGGTTCATGCCTGTAATCCCAGCACTTTGGGAGGCCGAGGTGGGCAGATCGCTTGAGGCCAGGAATTCAAGACCAGTCTGGCCAACATAGAGGAACCCTGTCTACTACAAAATAAAAAAAATTAGTCGGCTATGGTGGCACATGCCTGTAATCCCAACTACTCAGGAGGCTGAGGCACGAGAATCACTTAAGCGTGGGAGGTGGGGGTTGCAATGACATCACCACAGCCTGGGCAACAGGGGGAGACTGTCTCAAAAAAAAAAAAAATTAGTGGCCGAGCATGGTGGCTTATGTCTGTAATCTCAGCACTCTGGGAGGCTGAAATGGGTGGATCACAAGGTCAGGAGTTCAAGACCAGCCTGGCCAATATGGTGAAACCCCATCACTACTAAAAATACAAAAATTAGCTGGGCATGGTGGTGAATGCCTGTAGTCCCAGATACTTGGGAAACTGAGGCAGAAGACTCGCTCGAACCCAGGAGACGGAGGTTGCAGTGAGCCGAGATCGCACCACTGCACTCCAGCCTGGGCACAGACAGAGAGTCCGTTACAAAAAAAATAATAATAATAAAAATAAAATTAGCAAAAAATTAGCCAAAAATTCTTTAAAAATAAATATAAATATATTTATATATACATTTTATTCATTCATTTTATATACATTTTATTCATTCATTAATAAAATCACTTTATTAATCATTCAATAAAATGAATTCATTATATATAATGAATGAATAAAACGTATTTTTCCATTAGGGATTTAAAAGGAGCATTGGATAAATTAAAAATTTTTTTTGTCTTTTCTTTTGAAAAAAATATAAATTTAATGATGTATTTTTGGACTTTGATTAAAAATAATTCAATTTTATCTGTCAGCATAAATATTAGAAATACTCAGAGAAATTTAGCAGAAGGATAAGCATCATTTTGTAATGACAATAATTAAGTAGGGCTGCATAAGTGGAAGAATGGACATATAAATGCCTTTTTTTTTTTTTTTTGAGACGGAGTCTTCGCTGTGTCGCCCAGGCTGGAGTGCAGAGGTGCTATCTATGCTCACTGTAAGCTCCGCCTCCCGGGTTCACCTCATTCTTCTGCCTCAGCCTCCGGACTGGCTGGTACTACAGGTGCCCACCGGCTGATTTTTTGTATTTTTTTAGTAGAGATGGGATTTCACAGTGTTACCCAGGATGGTCTTAATCTCCTGACCTCGTGATCCGCCCGCGTCGGCCTCCAAAATTGCTGGGATTACAGGCGTGAGCCACCGCGCCTAGCCAGATTTTTTTTTTTTTTCAGAGGCTCCCTCTGTAGCCCAAGCTGGAGTGTAGTGGCGCGATCTCGGCTCACTGCAGCCTCCGCCTCCCGGGTTCAAGCAATTCTCCTGCCTCGGCCTCCTAAGTAGCTGGGACTACAGGCACGCACCACTACGCCTGTCTAATTTTTGTATTTTTAATAGAGACAGGGTTTCACCATGTTGGCCTAGGATGGTCTTGATCTGACTTCGTCATCTGCCCGCCTCTGCCTCTCAAAGTGCTGGGATTACAGGCACGAGCCACCGCAGCCGGCCGACAGACTTTATTTCATCTGTAAAGTTCTATAATGTCATTCACAATAAAATAAAAAGATATTATGCAAACCAAACAAAATTTTGCAAGATATGTGATACACTATACATAGAAAATTCTTGCATATCAGTAAGAAAATAACTATAAATAGATAAAATCCATGAATAGTAACAAAAGTATAGGATATTAGAGAAAAAGTATTTGACAGAATGAAAGAAAAAAATGGTTGTTTTAGGATCAGTGGTCTGAGATGCATTCATGTGTTACTTCATTAGCTTGTATGTATTTAATATATTCTATATGTGTTCAACAATTGATGCAGATTCAAAAACAAAAAAAAGTTCCTTTAGTAAGGAGATACACAACAACAAAAATTTCCTATAAAAGTGGATTACAATAATGAAAGTATCTAGAAATCTAATTTTAAAAAGTGGTACTCATTATCTGGGATCATCTGGGAAGAACTCATTTAACAGACCATTTGCGTAGACACTTGAGGATGAAGATAAATTTTCAGGCAGATTAATAACAATGGGGAGAGTTTTCAAGGCAGAGGAGATGACTTTTATAAAACGAGGAAAGCATGAAGTTTATATAGCTTGAAAAGTGTGTTGTATTCAGGTAGTAATGCACTGACTCCATCACTCTTGCATTTTGTTTGTTTGTTTTGAGGCGGAGTCTCGCCCTGTCGCCCAGACTGGAGTGCAGTGGCGCGATCTCGGCTCACTGCAAGCTCCGCCTCCCGGGTTCACGCCATTCTCCTGCCTCAGCCTCCAGAGTAGCTGGGACTACAGGCGCCCGCCACCACGCCTGGCTAATTTTTTTGTATTTTTCTTAGTAGAGACGGGGTTTCACCGTGTTAGCCAGGATGGTCTTGATCTCCTGACTTCGTGATCTGCCCGCCTCGGCCTCCCAAAGTGCTGGGATTACAGGCGTGAGCCCCCGCGCCCGGCCACACTCTTGCATTTTTTATTGTAGGCTCTGAGGAAAGGTCTGCTTCCACGTGTGTTCAGATTGTTATACACACTTAGTTCCTTGAGTGGGTATTATTGCAGTCCCCATTTCCTTGCTGGCCGTCAGCTGGGACCAGCCTTTCCTCCTAGAGACTGTCCCTGTTCCTTCTTATGCTTTTTTCATGGGCCTTTCCAGCAGCACGAACATTTCAAATATCTCTGCCTTTCCCTCCTGCCCCGTCTCTCAGAAATCAACTGCACATGGTCTCAGCTTTTAAGGGCTCATAGTGATTAGATTGGACTCATATACGGTCCTCATTTTAATATTCATAATTCTAACTGCAAAGTCTCTTTTGTCAGGTAATACAGAATATTCAGGTCTCAAGGATTAAAGTGTGAGCATCTTTGGGGGTTTTTATTCTGCTTACAACATTTACCTAGAGTATAAATTCAAGACATAAGGCAGAATCTTATGAGAAAAAGAAAGTACTATTTTGAACATACCTGTGGCAATCCTAAATGGGAATTAGATTCAGATTTGGCAGTTCTTGATAAAAGTCAAGGCTGAAGAAATAATTTGGTAGTCATCATGTTATACATTTTGTAAATGAAGCCATTATTATATATGAGAGGGTTAGCATTCACCCAGGGAGACTTCAAGTCAGTTTACAAAGTTAATATTCTATGGCACGTTCAATAGTAGCACCACCTTTTATTCAATTGGATAGTAGCCTGGGGTGAAGATTAAAAAGAAAGAAATATAACTATCTCTATATGGAGATGCCATGAGGTATAAAGAATTTGTATATAGATATACATGGAAAAATATTTATGCATACAGGAAATCCTAAGGAATCCACACACGCACGCACACACGCACGCACACATGCACACATTAAGATGATAAAGCTGTGATATTTTTAGGCATAACTTTGTAGTAAGATGTTACATCAGGAACAGGAAACTACTATAGCAAAGCACCCAGAATGGTCTAAATAGTCTTGAAACAGAAAATTTTCTACCAAACTGTATTAATTCGGTGTTGCATTAGCATAAAGATAGACATATAAATTTAATGAAATAATATTGAGCATTAATCAATAAACCTTATATTTATGAGCAATTGATTTTTAAAAGGATGCCAAGAAAATTCAAAGGGGAAATAGTAGTCTTGTCAACAAATAGTGTTGGGACAACTGTACATATGCATGCAAACAAACGAAGTTGGATTCTGACCTTACCTTACACACAAAGTTGATCAAAACCTAAATGTAAGACCTAGAAGTAAAAAACTCATAGAAGAAAACATAAGCAAAATCTTCATGACCTTAGATTAAACAATGGTTTCTTAGATATAGCACCAAATTACAAGCAACAAAAGAAAAAAAAGGGGGCTATATTATGCTTAATTAAAACTAAATTTTTTCTTCAAAAGAAAAAGCCAAGGAAGTGAAAAGACAACCTACAGAATGGGAGAACAATTTTGCAAATCATACATCTTCTAAAAGACTTGTATTCAGAATATGTATCTTACAACTCAATAATAAAAAAACATATAACCTATTTTTAAAATGGAGAAATGATTTGAGTAGAAAATTCTCCAAAAAAGATACACAATAGGCAAGAAGCACATGAAAAGATACTCAACATTATTGGTCATTTGAGAAATGTGAATCAAAACCACCAGGAGATACCATTTCATACTATGATCAAAAAGAAAATAACAAATATGTTTGAGAATGTGGAAACAATCCCACATAAATTGCTGGTGGGAACGCAAAACGATGCAGCCATGGTAGGAACAATTTTGCAGTTGCACTTTGGGAGGCCAAGGTGGGAGGATCACCTGAGGTCAAGAGTTTGAGTCCAGCCTGGCCAACACAGTGAAAACCCATCTCTACTAAAAACACAAAAATTACCCAGGCGTGGTGGCAGGCACCTGTAATTCCAGCTACTCATGAGGCTGAGGCAGGAGAATTGCTCGAACCTAGGAGGCGGAGGTTGCAGTGAGCTGAGACCACGCCACTGCACTCCAGCCTGGGCGACAGAGTGAGACTCTGTCTCAGAAAAAAAAAGAAAAAGAAAGAAAGAAAAGAAAAAAAAGTTAAACAGTGTTATCAAATGACTGGACAATTCTACTCCTTAGGAATATCTCCCAAAGAATGAAAAACATGTCTACAAAGAACCTGGACACAAATGTTTATAGCAACATTATTTGTAATGGCCATAAAGACAATGCAAATGTCCATCAATTGATGAATGGATAATCAAAAAGTGGTATATCCATACAATGGAATATAATTTAGCCATAAAAGGAATGAACTACTGATACATGATACAGGTATGAATCATGAAAACATTAAGTGAAAAATGCCAGACACAAAATGTCACATATTCTATAATCCTACTTATATGAAATGCCCAGAAAAAGCAAATCTATAGAGACAGAAGGTAGATCAGTGATTGCCAGGGGCTAGAGAGAAGAGCAAACAAGGACTGGCTAATAAGAGACACAGGATTTTTTTGTTGTTGTTCAGTGATGAAATTATTCTGGAATTTGCAATGATTATACCATAACCTTCTGAATATACTAATCACTGAGCTGCATCCTTGTTAAGGACAAATATTATGGTGTATGAATTATATCTTAATTTTAAAAAGTACAGTAAAGTAAAAACCAATTGTGTTTCAATAATAAAATATTATTTTAATATCACTATATTAACAATATGGAAGAAAATCTCATCTCAATGGATGCAGAATATATTTTTTAATATTGCAAACAATAGAATGGAATGTATTTAATCTGGTGAAAGATAATCATAAAATCTTACAAAAATATTATAATTAATAAGGAAATATGGAAAGCTTTCCTTATGGGATCAGAAAAAAAATTCCCTAGTCAGTTCAATAAGAAAAAAAAAGTAAGAATTAGCAAGAAAGAAATACACAGGTCATTATTTGCTAAGGACATTATTGTATATGTAGAATATCTAAAATAAAATATTAGAACGAATAACTAAATATAGCTATCAGGATCACTGGTTACAATATGAGCACATAAAAGTCTATTTTATTTCCTTACACTACCAATAACCAATTACAAAATAAAATTTTATAAATATATCATTTAGAATCAATATTTTGTTAACTTCATAAAATTAACTGGAAAGTTTTTCTTTTTAAATATATTTTCAAAAATTGAAGAATTCTTCAAGTCAGTTAAATGGTTTTAAATATTTCTGGCCTGCAACAACAAGGTTAAATCTGCATGTGATAATGGATCTCTCTACTGATATTAGAGCTATCCCATTATTGAAAACCATTTTTAGATATAAATGGCAGGCACCTAAGAATGACTTAATTTCCTGTGGTGTTCCTTTAAAACAATTTTCCAAAACAGGCAAATCTTGCTCTCTCCCTCTCTCTTTCTCTTTAAAAAGTAACACAGGCTTATTTTTAAAGTTGCAATCAAAACAGACAGGTAAAAAGTAGAAAATTAAAATGACCCATCAGGCTTGTCTTAAAATTAACTACTGATAATATTTTGGTATATGTCCTCATATGTTTTAGTGTATTTTTTCAGGTTTGTTCTATCAAAACCTAATTTAACAAAATCTGAGCAAATCATCCACTTCCTTTCCTAATATCCTTTTATACTGTGTGTTTATACATGTGGTTATGAATATATGTTCACAAGTGAGGGTATATATACACATACACACATACATGTGTGAGATAGAGACATAGGCAGAGGCAGACAGAAAGGCAGAGAATAGCTAGGAAAGTTGAGCTCAATTTAATATTGTAATTATAATATGCATGCTATTTTAAAATTGCTTTCATTTCTGAATTTAGACAGCATATAGAACTTGATAAATACAGTAATTAGAAATCCGAGAGTTATTTGCATACTTACACATCTGAAGTATCTTCCTATGTACAGATAAACATTAACCACAATTATCTACACATGTTGCTTAAATTTTTTCCTCCAGCTGTCATGTTAAAGCCATGATTGACACTTGTTTGCATACTATTTGAGAATTTAATATTTGGTTGAAATTCTCTGATCCTAAAACATACTGCTTGGAAATACACATTTTGTTTTCATACACATGAGATGTTGCATGCATACCGAAATTAAAGAATTACAATTAGTTGGTACCCAGCTTGCATCCTTAAGCAATCTTTGTAAATACTATTTTTCTTATTAACGCTGCTTTCTGTTCTCATTAAGTTTCAACAGAGTACTCTCAGTAATTTAAAACATATTGTTCCTTCAGTTAAATAGGCAATTTCCCTCTCAACAAATGCCTGGACCTTAAAGTAAGGTGTGGAAATGGACAAAATAGTCCCAAATATTTTAACCAGCAATATAAACTTTTGCAATGCTTTTATAGGATGTTTAAAATAACAAGAAAGACTTGGTTCTCGTGATTTTCACCAACGGTGGTTACAAACAGTCTTCTTCTTTACTATGTTTGAATGGCATATTTCACTTCACATATCCTTTACTTGCTGCTAGAGCCTTAATATTGCTAGGGGGAAAAGCTTACCTAGCTCCGTGTTTGTAAATGTCAGCTAGCCAAAAGATATTTGGAAACCTATAAATGTTCGCCTTTCTAACATTTGCTTAAAGCTATCTGGAATTAACGTTCTCCTCTTTCCTCTTCTCTCACCTCAAGAAAAAAAAATCTGTATACAGAAGTTGACACAAAATATATTAAATAAGGCTGGTATTCAGCCCTCTTGCATTCAAGCAAGAATTACCCATGTATGTAAAACAGAAGAAAATGTCTTGATAGTATTCTGTACCCGTGCTGTCAAACTACCCTTTGATATGTCTGCAATTTTCTCAGTAAAACACATTTTGTTTATTTTGGATTAGGAGCAAGCTCTTGCATGTCTACCAGGATTTATTAGCCTGGTAAAGAAGCAGCACTACACAGAAACAACGAATATAATGTGCTCTTTGCTATGGTTTTAAGGTCCCCTTCAAACTCATGTGAAATGTAATTGCCATTGAAACAGTATTAAGAGGTGGGGGCTTTAAGAAGTCATGCAGGCTGTTGTCGGTTTTTTTCTTCCAGGTTTTTTCTATCAAAACCTAATTTAACAACATCTGAGCAAATCATCCCCTTCCTTTCCTAATATCCTCATTTTCACTACTCTCTCCTTCAGCCGCAATGATCCATTCCATCATCTAACATTAATTTAGTAAAGATTTACTAAATCCCTTCTCTGTACAAATCATTTTATAGGATCTGAGTAAAGATACAGTGATTAGCATATGGCAGCCCTTGTCCTTTAACATGGCAAGAACAACTTTTCCTATTTTCAAGAGCTTGAGTATTCTGTCACTAACAGATCTAAAACTATCCAAGTTTACCTGGCCAACTTTTTCCCTTAAACTTCTGCCTCCCTTTTACAAAACTTCAAAAAAAAAGAATTCCAAATTTAATCATGCTGTTAAAACAGATTTTCACATCATCCCGTAGTTACATAAAGGGCAGTCTCCTTAGCTCATACTTAAAATCATATCTTTTCAACCCTTGAGTATTGTTACCATTACCTCAAACGATCATACAGCTACTGTCTTTCAGGTTATTCACAATACAATAATTTGAATATGCAAAAACACCACAGAATTTAAATGAAAAGTAACTAACGCACCCTACTCCCCTCAAAAATCAATTAATAAAATTTGTAATTTCAACAAATATTTTTGAATATTTACAAATCAGAAACAAAAATGGCTAACTGGAAACACAAAACAGATAAAAGATTTGGTAAATTAACCCAACATGCAATTTTGAAAAATGTAAATTTAATTTTTACTTAATAAGTGATTTCTCAAAAAGTAACATTAATAAAGGGCATTGTCAGAAATTTTGAGTCTTTTAAGAGTGAAAACATCTGTTTGAACTAAAACTAGGAGACACAGAATGATAAGAACATATGAAGTTTTAGCTAAATATCCATGAATTACAAGGTTATTCTCTGTTGGTTTGGAGTACTCATTTACACACTAATACTCAGCTTTAGGAATTTAGGGCTCATTAACTTTGCTAAACATGGAATTTAGGGTTTTTTTAAAAACTACTTATTTCTTCACTATTTTTATATCCAAGTATACTCTTCTCATTACTCACAAAGGACAAATCTTCACCAAGCCCCTGCCCCTACAGTCAGGATAGTAATTTCATTCAAGCATCCCTTGAAAGCAATTATTTATGCTCGCTGCAGAAATTAGGGTAAATTTGTTGTGGTCCCATTTATTTTCTGGAGATTGGCGATTACATGTAAAATAATTTGAACGCTTGATAGATAGACTCATAAATATTTGGTTAATACAAGTAAAGCAGGGGGAGGCCAGGCGCGGTGGCTCACGCCTGTAATCCCAGCACTTTGGGAGGCCAAAGTGGGTGGATCACAAGGTCAGGAGACCGAGACCATCTTGGCTTACACGGTGAAACCCCGTTTCTACTAAAAATACAAAAAATATTAGCAGGGCGTGGTGGCGGGTGCCTGTAGTCCCAGCAACTTGGGAGGCTGAGGCAGGAGAATGGCTTGAACCAGGGAGGCGGAGCTTGCAGTGAGCTGAGATTGTGCCACTGCACTCCAGCCTGGGGAACAGAGCGGGACTCCGTCTCAAAAAAAAAAAAAAATGGAGCTGGGGGGGCCGGGCGCGGTGGCTCACGCCTGTAATCCCAGCACTTTGGGAGGCCGAAGCAGGCAGATCACGAGGTCAGGAAATCGAGACCATCCTGGCTAACATGGTAAAACCCCGTCTCTACTAAAAATACAAAAAATTAGCTGGGTGTGGTGGCGGGCGCCTGTAGTCCCAGTTACTGCGGGAGGCTGAGGCAGGAGAATGGCGTGAACCCAGGAGGCAGAGATTGCAGTGAGCTGAGATAGCCCCGCTGCACTCCAGCCTGGGCAACAAAGGGAGACTCTGTCTAAAAAAAAAAAAAAAGTAGTTATTTTCTTCTTCATCCCTTTCAGTGTGGCCACTATTTATAATGCAGTTTGGTTCATTAGTGTTTGTATTCCAAAAACACCCTCAGCCTTCCTATCCTAGTTTTAATGAATTATTAGTGTGAAACATAATAAGGGTCGGAGCTATACAGAAAGGTCTACTCAGAGGTGCTTTGTTCCCTCCTATTCTGTTCCCACCACTCCTACTTTCCACTACTTTTTCCACTGACCCTGTGAGCATCATATTTATTGTTAATGGCAGTTACATTTTTACCAAGTGCTTACTATCTGTAGGCACTTGGTGTGTATTGCTTCTTCTGGTGTTCACAGCAACCTCTTGAGGTAGGCACTATTATTATCCACCCCACCCCGCCCCGTTTTTTGAGACAGAGTCTCACTCTGTTGCCCAGGCTGGAGTGCAGTGGTGCGATCTCAGCTCACTGCAACCTCTGCCTCCCAGGTTCAAGCAATTCTCCTGCCTCCGCTTCCCAAGTAGCTGCAAGTACAGGTGCGAGCCACCACACCCATCTAATTTTGTATTTTTAGCAGGGGTGGGGTTTTGCCATGTTGGCCAGGCTGGTCTCAAACTCCTGACCTCAGGTGATCCCCATTTTTTAGATGAGAAAGCAGAGTCCCAGAGAGCATAAGGAGCTTGTCCAGAGTGGCATCTCTGATGCATAACCAGTACTCAAACCAGTATTTTTCTGACACCAAGGCCTGTGTGTAAACTGTAAAAGGGCTGTTTGGTACCTGCTTTCCTAAAGTTGTCTGATCCCTTCTCAGTCCAGGTCTTCCTGAAGCTTGGCACTTCTGAAGTCACCTTTCTGAAAACATTCTGGTAACTGTTAGATCCCTTGTTGTAGCTATTCATATGTTCTGTGTGGTTAAACAAGGTTCACAGTGGGCCACCTGGCCTTTGGAACTTGGCTGAAGAGGCTGCCTTCAGTTCATCCTCCCCACCCCCATTTTCAAAACATGGGTTTCCATGTGTTAGTTGTAAATTAGGAAACATAACCATGTTTTGAGGCTTCATAGAAAACAAACGTCTGGGGTCACACAGGTTAAAGGAGGAACCAAATTCAGCACTATCACTGTTCTATTCAGCAGGCAATTCTGGGGCCTTCCTGTGTCTCAGGTTCTGTACTAGTTGTTTCAGGACTTTGGGATAAACACAAACTATCCCTGCCCTCAGGGGGATTAAGGTCAGGTGTACAAATGACTCTAATGCGAGGCAAGGCTGGATTCAGTGCTGGAAGAGGAGGGCATACCTAATGCTATGGGAATTCAAAGAGGAAATGATCAGAATGAGGAGGGAGAGATGGGTCATTCCAGGAGAAGCTTCAGGGAAAAGCAACACTTGAAATGAGACTTTGGAGAGTGAGGGAGGTTTGGGCAGATGGATAGAGAGGATGCAAGGCCAGGGGAAAGGTTTGAGCCAGAAAGTCGGCTTGGGCAAGTGCATGGGTAAAAAAAGAAAATCCACTTTGGGAGGCCGAGGCAGGAGTTGGAGACTAGCCTGGCCCACATGGTGAAACCCTGTCTCTCATAAAAATACAAAAATTAGCTGGGCATGATGGTGGGCACCTGTAATTCCAGCTACTCGGGAGGCTGAGGCAGGAGAATCACTTGAACCCAGGAGGCAGAGATTGCAGTGAGCTGAGATCACACCACTGCACTCCAGCCTGGGCAACAAGAGTAAAACTTCATCAAAAAAAAAAAAAAGAAAGAAAGAAAATCACAAGGCAGTGTGGGGAATGGTGAGTAATCTAATTTGGTTGTTGCAGAGAGGATGTAGAAGGAAGTGACGAGAGAAAGCCAGACAGGTGGCTTGGGGTCATCTTAAGGGCCTTTGTGCCAGTTAGGATGTTCCAGACTTTAGTCAGGCTGCCCAGCTCAGACTGGCTCAGACAATGAGGGGGTTTATTGGTCATGTAATTGGGAAGTCCAGAGGTTCTAGGACTACAGAAAATTATTATTTAGTATTAGTTTGACAGCAACACCTTCTGTTTTCTGGGAGCAGGAGATGCTTGTCAAGCTGTAGGTCACTGAGTTGAATATTAGCCTGCTTTATTAAATTGCCAAGGGCACGGTAATTGTTGAGAGGGGAGAAGTACACAGGAAAAAAACATGACCAGCTTAGAAACGTCAAATGATTATGACGTTGTTATAAAGTATTATAATTCTTTGAGCGTCTACTATAAGTAGAGAAACTTGAGTTCCAGGTTGTGGGCTTGGTTCCGCCAACAATCAGGAACGTGGTTTTGCATGAAGCCCTTCTTTCTTCTATAATCTTCAGTGTCCTCACCTGCAAAATGAGGCCTTTATATATATATATATATATATATATATATATATATATATATATATATTTTTTTTTTTTTTTTTTTTTTTTTTTTTTTTTGAGACGGAGTCTCGCTCTGTCGCCCAGGCTGGAGTTCAGTGGTACAATCTCTGTTCACTGCAAACTCCCCCTCCTGGGTTCACACCATTCTCCTGCCTCAGCCTCCCGAGTAGCTGGGACCACAGGCACCTGCCACCACGCCCAGCTAATTTTTTGTGTTTTTAGTAGAGATGGGGTTTCACCGTGTTAGCCAGGATGGTCTCGATCTCCTGATCTCGTGATCTGCCCGCCTCAGCCTCCCAAAGTGCTAGGATTACAGGTGTGAGCCATCACGCCCGGCCAAGGCCTTTATTATATTACGGTTCCTACTGTTTTTTAAAATACTTTTATTAAGTCCAACATTTTTATTAAGATCATTGCTTTTATACATGCCTATTTATGAAAGGGGTTTTTGAGTGTTTACCACTTTTTATTAGAAATAGAGACAGTAAGAATGTTTGACTTAATTGACACAGGCATAATTGAATGGGTATAAATGGCATGCCATAGAAAGAGAAAATTAAGTTGAGCTACTCTGTTGGTTTCACTGATGAGGGGATACATCATTCAAACAGCCAGGAATTAAATCCGTCCAACTCACAAATGGGGAAACCAGCTGTGTCTGTACCCATGGCCAGCCAGATTGAACACAAATCAGGAAAGTCAGTAACTTTTCCTCAGTTCTGAGGGACTTCAGTGGCTGCGGTTCATTTTCCTTTTGCTTCTGAAACAGTGCAAGTTGATGCTCGCCTGGACAGAGCGGCAGTGAGTGGTGGCATCTGAAGGCCAGGTCTCTGTTGAGATGACTACACGTCGTCTCCCAGTGCCCAATGCATAGAAAAGATACACTACTAAGTGTGAGATCCTCAGTGAAAAATAAAATCTGGGGTTGAATCATCATGGGGGATACTGCATACTCTGTTTCCCCCCTGCAGATTTCCAATGCTCATTAGTTTATAGAGACTCTGAGAATTCCTACAGCAAAGGCACCTGCCGAGGTATTTACAAACTAGTTTAGCTAAACCAGACTTTCAACAATTGGTTACTAAAGACCACTCAAAGTCTGTCAACACTCTGTCATCTCTACGTAATGATAGAAACATAGAAATTCAGGGTAAATGTTTAGAAATTTCTATAGAAACTTGACATTCTCCCAGCATCTGTATGTGACATCAGGGGACTTGTCTCAATGAGCAGTTACAGACCAACTGAGGTTTTGTCAGACTCAATGGAAAGATGCAGAGGCTGTGAGCTGCAAACGAGTCACATGCACAAGGACCACATTGCAAGCTGCGTTCTTTAAGGTTAGTTTATCAACTATAGTATAATCTCACACATCTGAAAAATAGGAACATCTATTCTATAAAGTCTTATATTTGCAATAATTTTAATTTTAAATCAAGCCAATGTTAGCATTATTAGTGAAAACAAAAGAAAGTTGTATTATTTATTATTAAACCTAATTTGAGAGTGAAATAAATTGTATTAATTTTTTTAACCAATAAAAGATGCACCTTGTAAACCAAGAGATGATTATGAAAGTGATTCTGAGGACATGAAGACCAAAGGAGTTTGTCCTCGTTTTACTCAGAAGTACTATTTCTAATGGACAGATGATCCCTGACATACAATGGTTTGACTTATAATTTTTTGACTTTATGATGGTGTGAAAGTGATATGCATTCAGCAGAAACCATACTTCAGTATTCAATAAATTACATGAGATATTCAACACTTTAAAGTGGGTTTGTGAGAGATAATTTTTGCCCAATGGAAGGTGAATGTAAATTTTCTGAGAATGTTTAAGGTAAGCTAGGCTAAGCTATGATGTTAGTTTAGGTGTATTAAATGCATTTTAATTTAATTTAATTTAATTTTATGTTTTGAGACAGTGTGTTTTGTTCTTGTCACCCAGGCTGGAGTGCAATGGCATGATCTCGGCTCACTGCAACCTCTGCCTCTTGGGTTCAAGCGATTTTCTTGCCTCAGCCTTCCCAGTAGCTGGGATTACAGGTGCGCACCAACATGCCTGGCTAATTTTTGTATTTTTAGTAGAGACAGGGTTTCACCATGTTGGCCAGGCTGGTCTCGAACTCCCGACCTCAGGTGATCCACCCGCCTCAGCCTCCCAGAGTTGGGATTACAGGCTGAGCCACTGCATCCGGCCTTAAATGCATTTTTGGCTTGTATTTTCAACTGATGATGAGCTATAACTCCTTTGTGAGTTGAGGATCATCTGTCTTGAATTTGGTTTTACAGGCATAACTGAAGGTGAAAGGACAGAATCACCGTGTGTTACTGGCACAGGTGCATCGGCTAGTGAAGAAAGAAGACATTCAAACTGTAAGTTGCATTCACGTGGGAAGCACAAAGAATTAAATTCAAAACAATGAAACATTAGAGAAAAGCATGGAGTTAAAACACAACAGAATCAGATGTTTACTATTTCTCATTTTAACACTAGTGCTTTGCGGGCTTCTAATAAAGTTGTACTCCAGGAGGCTAAGACTGAAAAGTGACACTAGTGAAAAATAGCATTGAAATAGTTCCGTAGAAAAGTTGGGTGAATGTGGGGCAAAGATGCCACTAAACTTTAATTTTCCATCGACACACAAATTCAAAGTTTTCCAGAGCTGGCAAGTAAAATGGAAGATCCACTCACAGGACACATGCAGCGTGTGAGGGGAATGCTTTTCAGCACTTCTTGATGGATGCACAAATAATGCCAACGTGGTAAATGTCTTTGGTAAACGTGCAATGGAATGTAGTGGTTGTGTGAAGGAAGAATTTTGTTTTCAGCTTCATTTTTGATAAACACAAGCAGCTCTGGACTGTGTGAAACCATGGAGCACTGCACAGTTAACAGAGGTGGTTTGGAGTTTTTTAGCTTTGCATAAGAGGATGTTCTGATGCAGAATCTACAGTGACAGGAAACCGTTCTGGACAAGTTACAGAATTAAGGAGCTTGTGCCGGGATGGAAATAAATCAATGACTTCTGTCTTTGAGAAGGTTTTTCTCTGCTCCTCTGTGATGGTTAATTTTTTTTTTTTTTTTTTTTTTTTTTTGAGATGGAGTCTCGCTCTGTCCCCCAGGCTGGAGTGCAGTGGCGCCATCTCGGCTCACTGCAAGCTCTGCCTCCCGGGTTCATGCCATTCTCCTGCCTCAGCCTCCCAAGTAGCTGGGAGTACAGGTGCCTGCGGCTAATTTTGTGTATTTTTTAGTAGAGCCAGGTTTCACCATGTTGGCCAGGATGGTCTCGATCTCCTGACCTTGTGATCCACCCGCCTTGGCCTCCCAAAGTGCTGGGATTACAGGCATGAGCTACCATGCCCCACCTTTTTTTTTCCTTTTCTTTCTTTTTTCTTTCTTTCTTTCTTTTTTTTTTTTTGTTAGTCCTTCCCTCCAGTGTCATGGAGATAATTGGAAAATGTTTTAGAGCAAAAAAGTTTATTTCTCCTTCTTGTTGTTAGCAAAGAAATTTATTTTTCCTTCTTGTTATTTATTGGCCTTGGAGACATACACCAAATAGCTCATTCTACTTCTGAAATTTTGTTTTGATTTCCCTGGCCCTCCCCACGAAGTATTTCAGATTAGCAGGGAGTCAAGTATTGTCTGTCTATCTGTGAATAAAATATTTCAGGCTGCTTTTGCATAATATACATGCTCTTGCCTTTACGAGTCACACTCACATCTTCTGGTTTTGTAAAACACCAGGTAAAGAAGAAAACAATGTTTCTGAATTCTGCTTTATCAGCCCAGTAGAGAACTCTTCCCTTCCCTGAACTGAGGGCTACATCTAAGGGGTTGAAACAGGGCCAGTTTACAGTGATTATAAATCAAATGCCTGAAGATGCTAAGCTTAGGACAGTGTTTGCTGTACAACTTTGATAACTGAACATTTTTAAAGCTGAAAATGTGACTGTGTGTGTATATGTGGCATATTATCCTTAGATGATCCTTACTTCGATTATTAAGAATTTTTTCCCCTAGTAATCTTCAACTGTCTCAATATTCAGCAGGAACCCCTTGGAGACAAAGATCAGTACGAATTTGGAACACCTATTGACAAAATGAATGTAATTTAATTTAGGACAGTAGTAAAGTCAACCACTTTTAGGTGTTGATGCTGCTGAAAGTATATATAAGTGCAGAGATGACATCCAGAACTTGTCATGAATATTACAAAAAGGTCTCTAAGGGCTTTATGGAGGTCTGTAAATTGACTTCATGTGAAAGAGTGTAAGAAGTGAAAATGTGAAGCATGACTGGAGAGCCAGAGTGATAAAGCAAGGGTCCCTTTTTCCAGATCCTTTGTAACAGTGTCATGTGACCTCTTCTAGATCATTCTGAAAGACAATGCCAGCTCGGAACCTAGGAAAGCATCCAGTGGGTTTCTGCATGTTAGGTGGTTCAAATCCTCATTAGCACCTTTGTTTTCTCTGCCTCAGTTTGCTTACAGTGATGTTCTCAGTAGCTGTAATTGCTGTCTGTCTTTGAATATTTAAGCATTTTTTTTTAGATCACAGGGTATATGTGCATTTTTATTTTACCAAGTGTTAGAATTTTTACCCTGCCTTTGTGGGCTCTGGGTTAGCTACTTGGTTGTTTCATCGTAAAATGATTAGCAGGAAAAACTGTGTGTGTGTGTATGTGTGTGTGTGTGTGTGTGTGTGTGTATTTTAAGTTTCTTAATTGGGTTGGGACATGTAAACCATTTAGAACAGTGCCTGCTGCATACCACATCCCCATCAGTATTCACGTCTCTCATATTCTACCCTCACACTTGATTGATAGTTTGCTTGATTATGTATTTCTAGGTTGAGGATAATTTTACCTTAGAATTTCAAAGTCTGTACTGTTGTCTTCTAACCAGTCATGGTGGTGAAGCCTCATGCCATCCTGAGTTTCACTTGTTTATGCATGACTTTCTCCCTGGAAGCTTTAGGAGTTCGTCTTTTCCTTGGTGAGCTGAAATAGCACAACAGTGTACTTAGTGTGGGTCTTTTTTCATTCATTATGCTGGGTACACCAAATGAACAGGCCTATGGATAGGCTCTTTCAAAGTTGGAGTCTTGAATCTTGTCATATTTTTGTTGTTAACTTTCTCTTTTCCATTTTATTTGTTCATTTTGAAGTGTCTGTTAATTGGATTTTAGACCTCTTGTCTTGAGTCTTGTATCTCCTGTTATTTCTAAATTTTTTTAAAATTTTAAGTTCTGGAATATTTCCTTATCTTTCGACTTTCAGGAAATTTTATTTGGACTGTCATAACTTTAAGTTTTGTTTTGGTTATTTATTGTTGTTTAACCAATTATCCCAAAACTTAATGGCATAAAACTACACATCTGTCTATCTGTCACTACTGTATGGATTACCTGGGGCTAGCTGGACAGTTTTTCTGCTGGTCTCATTTTGCAGCTTTCACTGTGTGGTTAAACAGTGTCAGGGACTGGTCATCTGGATGCTCAGCTGCAGTGGAATGTCCGAGACGGCTTCTTCACCCACAGGTCTGCTGCCTTGGTAATTCTTGATGTGGCCTTTCTCTCTGCATAGCATCTCATCCTCTCGGATCTCTTCATGTGGCTTTTCTTTCTCCAAGAAGGTAGTCAATTCTTATTTTTGGCTTCCAGAAGCACAGAAATGGAGCTGCCAGGAGTTCTTAAGGCTTAGACCTGGAACAGGTCCAGTGTCATTTCTACCACATGCTATAGGTTAAAGTGAGTGTTGGGGCCAACCCAGATTGACTATGGGATGGGCCTGTCTAAGGACATGATGACAGGAGGTATGGCTCATTGGAGACCAACTCCCAAGATGAAGCATGAGTTCTAAGAACTTTTTCTTCTCTGATTATTTCTTATTCATATTGTTTTGTTTTATGCATGTAATATATTCACAAGTGTCTTTATGAAGTGATTTTGATACTCTTTGTCTTCTCCCTGGCATCTCCTTGTTCTTTAATAATTTTTTTCCTTGGTTTATTTTGGTCTTATTTTTCTTTTTAAAGCCTTTCCTTAAATATCTATTCTATGTTGCTTATCATTTGTTGTCTTTTTTTTTTTTTTTTTTTTTTTGAGACCCAGTTTCGCTCTTGTTGCCTAGGCTGGAGTACAATGATGTGATCTCGGCTCACCACAGCGTCTGCCTCCAAGGTTCAAGCGGTTCTCCTGCCTCAGCCTCCCAAGTGGCTGGGATTACAGGCATGTGCTACCACGCCCAGCTAATTTGTGTATTTTTAGTAGAGATGGGATTTCTCCATGTTGGTCAGTCTGGTCTGGAACTCCCAACCTCAGGTGATCCACCCACCTTGGCCTCCCAAAGTGCTGGGATTACAGACATGAGCCACCACGCCTGACCTGTAATCTTTTTTCCATTCCTTTATTTGTTCATTCATATTTGAGAGAGGTACTAAAAGACTGGGAGCCGGGGTGTGGTGGCTCACACCTATAATCTCAGTGCTTTGGGAGACCAAAGTGGGAGGATCACTTGAGCCCAGGAGCTCAAGACTAGTTTGGGCAACATAGTGAGACCCCACCTTTAAAAAAAAAAATAGCTAGGTGTGGTGACACCCATCTGCAGTCCCAGCTACTCGGGAGGCTGAGGCAGGAGGATTGCTTGAGCCCAGGAGGTTGAGGCTGCAGTGAGCTCTGATCATGCCACTGCATTCCTGCATTCCAGCCTGGGCGAAAGAGCAAGACCCTGTCTCAAAAAAAATAAATAAATAAAAATAAAAATAAATAAAAATTGATTGGGAGTTCTTTGTGGCCAAGACTTGTCAACTGATAGCTTTAAGGGGAATGTATGCTGATTCCTAATTGTTATCCTCCATCCCTCTATCTTATCTCCTGGTGCAATCATAAATGATGGCTGGATGACTACTCCATTCCTCTGGATGTAAAATCTACATTCTCTTGCCTGAGGTGGATACGTTTGCTTGGGTTCTGTTTAAGGAGATGGGGCCAGCAGTGTGTTTCAGGGCCTGTGAAATGTGTTCTCTATCCGGGCTTTTGCTTAATCTCTGTTTTCAGTCTTGCCTATCAGTCCCACTGTCGGGGGTACCTCGTGTCTGAGTCTAGAACCTTTCCAGGTTGCTGTGGGACAGATTAGCCTCCTTGTCCTCAGTATCCCCCTGACCTCCACCTTTGTTGCTTTGCTCCATGAATTAACCATTTTCCATGTACTGTCATTGTGTAATGAAGATGAATTCTCTTCTGTTGGTAACCCCATTCCTTTTTTGTAATTGTGTGCTTATACAATGTTTATTCTTCACTGTATTTCTATTGGAGCCTCAGGACAAAGAGCAGATGGTGAGAATCTATGTTCAGTGTTAAGTTTTCCTTCTGTAAGACATGTGCAACTTGTGTTTTTCACTGAATAGATCATGGACTTAATGCATATAGAGCTACTTTGTTTTTCATGATTGTGCCTTCAATTATATGTAGAAATATAATTTGTGAATTGCCTGATGAAATTTTCATAATTTTGAATTGTCTTTGCATTCCTATAATAAACACTGTTAGAATGGCTATGGTAATGTTTTATTTTTGCATTCTTCTGTATTAAATAAGATTATAGTTTTGTTTGTTTCCTTTAAGGCTGTTATTTCATTTCAGTATCAAGGGTATGCAGGGCTGAGTTGGGAAGCTTTACATCTTTTTTCTAAGATCTAGGATGTAGATCTGGTTTACACAGTAATTTTCAACTGCAGGAGTATTTTGCCTCCTATGGGACGTTTGGAAATATCTGGAGACATTTTTGTGGTCACAACTGGTCATGGTCGGGAGGTCTTATTGGCATTCTGTGGGTAGAGGGAATGTTACTAAATGCCCGACAACACACCAGGAGAACCCTCCACAAAGAATTATCTGGCCCAATATATCAATATTGCTGAGGCTGACAAATTCTGGTTTAAATAAATATCCAATTTGGAGGATGAGTCTTTGTCTTTTTCCTTCTTCTGCATATTGGTCTCCAGATTTCCCACTTCTTCAGTTAGTTTTCGTAACTGTAGGTTCTTAAAAAAAAATGAGCACTTTGGCCGGGTGCGACGGCTCATGCCTGTAATCCCAGCACTTTGGGAGGCCGAGGCGGGTGGATCACGAGGTCAGGAGATTGAGACCATCCTGGCTAACATGGTGAAACCCCGTCTCTACTAAGCCAAAATACAAAAAATTAGCCAGGCGTGGTGGCGGGCGCCTGTAGTCCCAGCTACTCAGGAGGTTGAGGCAGGAGAATGTTGTGAACCCGGGAGGTGGAGCTTGCAGTGAGCCAAGATCACGCCACTGCACTCCAGCGTGGGTGACAGAGCGAGACTCCGTCTCAAAAAAAAAAAAAAAAAAAAAATGAACATGTCATCCATACTTCTAAGGTGTTGTAAAGATGTGTAAAGTTTTCACTTTTTGCATCATATTCACATGTGGCTATATGCCCTTTTCTCTTCAAAGTTTTCTTTATCTTGATTACTTATCAGAGGTTTGACTGTTTTATTTTCCTCAGTCTTTTGAAAGAATCCTCCTTCAGTTTTATTTTTTAAATCTAGTGGTTTTTCTTTTTCCTTTTTCCTTATGTCTTAATTATTTCCCCCTTTTTGTTTGTTTTGCTTTTCCTAGTTTAGTGGATCAATGTAATTTAAATTGCTTTTTAAACAAACATGTAAGGGTATACATTTTCGTTGGGTGCTGTTTGACTTTGTTGCACAAGTTTTAAAATCTATTTTTTAATAGTTTGTATTTTCTAAATTATTTTATTGCATCTTTTGTTCACATTGCTCTTACTATTAATTTTTTATTTTTATTAATAAATAAATAAATTAATTAATTAATTGAGATGGAGTCTTGCTCTGTAGCCCAGGCTGGAGTGCAGCAGCATGATCTTGGCTCACTGCAAGCTCCACCTCGGGGGTTCATGTCATTCTCCTGCCTCAGCCTCCCAAGTAGCTGAGACTACAGCTGCCTGCCACCACATCCGGCCTTTTTTGTATTTTTAGTAGAGATGGGGTTTCACCGTGTTAGCCAGGATGGTCTCGATCTCCTGACGTCATGATCCACCCACCTTGGGCTCTCAAAGTCCTGGAATTACAGGCATGAGCCACTGCACCCGGCCCAAAAGCTTTGTGTTTTTACAGATATTAGACATGTTTCTTGTTTAAGAAAAAAAATCTTAACGAAAACGTAGGAGAATAAGAGAAACATTTTTCCAAAAAAGAGAAATCATTGTGATTATTTTATCTTATTAGAATGTTGGATAATATAGTCTGCTTCATTAATCATCAAGCATGCTATGCATTTTCCATTTTTATAGGATCTGTATCTCAGTTAAGATAATACTGGTAATTTTTATACTGTAATCAAAGATGAAAAATGTAGGCCAAAATCATAGACCTTGCATAGAAGCTGGATAATGAAGACAGCTATAGAGAAAAACACAGATACACACACACGGACACACATATATATATAAAGTATACACACATATATTTTTTAAAGTTTTAAAGCTGTTAAAGCAAAAGCTGGCCCCTCTTCTCTTCCAGAGTGGGAGGCCTCTCCCCTCTCTTAGAGTGGGTGCGGAGAGCGGTCGCATGGGCAGCTTTCCTTGTGAGCCACAGGGCCCTCTGGACACGCTGCTGTCTGGCCACGCCCCCTTTCCCTTTCATCTTTCTCATTGACCAATGGGCTTGGAGCATTAAGGCCACGCCCCTATTCCGCATTCTACTGGGGCCCTGGTTACGCCTCCTCTGGCTCAGTCACACAGCTGCCTGGAAGGTGACTGGAGGCCTTGATCGGTTCTCATTGCGATTTTGCTGCTGTGGCCCCAACCCTGCCTCCCTCCCCACCCTGCGATGGCAGAAGAAACTCAACACAACAAATTGGCTGCAGCCAAGAAAAAGGTAAAAACGCACTAGGTCATAGCCCCTCAACCCAGCCACAGATCCCCTCTGATGACAAGACCCCTGCCAGAGTCTATACGACTCCTGAGGCACACTGGACTGTTCCCCCCAACCCCGGTGCCTTGGGCTACCCCCATCAAAGTTTTGTCAGTCAGCCCCACCCCTTCAGAAAGCAGCCCAGTCCTTGCCCTCGCCAATCACCCCAGGGTGACTTTGGGTGGGTGACTCCTGGGACTTCCCGCTCCGTTACTGGGCCCTCATCTCCTGCCGCCCCAAGCTTGATCTCCCTGGGCTCTTTGGGCTCTCATCTCCAAGGAGCCAGGCCCCACCCTCGCCAATCATCCCTGGGTGACTTTGGGCTGGTGACTCCTGGGACTCCCTGCTGCAGACTCTGCCCTCCCCTCCTGCTGCCTCAAGGTCGACCTCCCTGGGTTCTTTGTGCTGGCGTCTCCAAGGAGCTGGGTCCCAACCCTGTGCTTCCCTCCCCCATCGTGGAGCGGCGACTTAGACATGGTGCTGACACGGTCCCTCCCCCTGACCAGGAGGATTGGAATGTTGTGATGTCACAGCCCACCTAGTAACTGCCGTTACTGCAAGACTGGCCTTTGATCTTATGACCCAGTCCCCTAAGCGTTCTCACCCCGTTTCTGGTTCCTCTGGTCACAGGACAAATTTCCAGCTGGAAGGGGAATGGAGACTATGGGACCTAGGAGCAAGAGGTTCCAGGCTGCCTCACTCCCTTACAGATGTTGACGGTGGGAAAAGCCTACACTTCCCCCATGAACTCAAAACATTGACAGTATCTCTGGGTGGCAATGAGAGAATGGGTTTGGTTTGGTTTTCTCCCAGGCTTCTACTTTCCAGAGAGATTTTAACATTTTTTTTCTGAGTTCTCCACCTCATATTCTAATTCTCCATGGTTCTGGGACCAGACTCTCCTTCAGTCAGTGGTCTCTGAAGTGACATTTGCTCATCTTCTGTGGAATAGATCTTGGGAAACTGAACTTGACACCTTGAATCTTCCTCATATTATCTCAACCTTGGGTACTTTGAGTGCCACAGGATAAATGTGGGACATCTTTCTGAAGCATCAGTTTCCCTTGATTCTCTTGAGATCAAGAGAAAAAACATGAATATACTTAGGGATGACAGTCACATAGGTTTCTAAGAGTATACCAGCCCTCTCTCTGAAATGAGGCTTGGGTTGTCCTCTTTCTGATGAATTCTGATTTAAGAGAAAGGCTGCCTTCTGCCGTGAGGACACATTGATATAAAAGTTTGAGAGGTACTGGTGCACTTCTTCACACTAACAGACGTGTGAGGATGTATGACTCTAAACCACATGGCATACAGTTCCTGCCTACTTAATGTTTACTTTTCTACCTCTGCCTCTGGTTTTGGTCCCTGGCAGCTGCTGATTCTTGGCAAAACCTCAGAGCTTGGAGTCAGAAGACTGAGTTTCAAAGTGCCAGTATTGCCTTTTTCTTTTTTTTTTTCTAGCCATGATATCAATCCTTCTCAGTCACTAAATGAGTGTGACAACACCTTGTACAGTTGTTGGTGTCATTAAATCAGATAGTGTGTAAGTGTATTTTGTAAAAACTGTAAAGGAGGATGTGGCTGTAGGGGCTGACGGTTCTCATGAGTATTACTGCTCTTCTTTCCAACAGTTAAAAGAATATTGGCAGAAAAACAGCCCTAGAGTTCCAGCAGGAGCGAACAGGAACAGGAAAACAAATGGCAGTATCCCTCAGACAGCCACTTCTGGTGGTTGCCAGCCACCTGGGGATGTGAGTCTTGGCTGACCAGGCTTCTGGGGACAGGGGGCCCA
This sequence comes from Homo sapiens, assembly GCF_000001405.40. NCBI lineage: Eukaryota > Metazoa > Chordata > Mammalia > Primates > Hominidae > Homo > Homo sapiens. Next base: position 22,615,877 of record NC_000015.10, on the reverse strand, counting down.
AGGGGCAATAGAGGGTAATTGTTAAGATTGTGGATGGACTGCTGGGTACGGGTTAAGAATTCTGGCTTTAGCCGGGTGTGGTGGCCCACGCCTGTAATCCTAGCACTTTGGGAGGCCAAGGCAGGCGGATCATGACGTCAGGAGATCGAGACCATCCTGGTTAACACGGTGAAACCCTGTCTCTACTAAAAATACAAAAACATTAGCCAAGCGTGGTGGCGTGTGCCTGTAGTCCCAGCTACTCAGAAGGCTGAGGCAAGAGAATGGTGTGAACCTGGGAGGTGGAGCTTGCAGTAGCCAAGATTATGCCACCGCACTCCAGCCTGGTGACAGAGCAAGACTCTGTCTCAAAGAAAAAAAAAAAAAAGGAATTCTGGGTTTGAATCCTGCCTCTCCATCTGCTCTGCTAGGGATATGATTTAGGGCAAGTTGCTAGACCTCATCGGGCCTCTCTTTTCACATCTGTATAATAGAGGTGTTATTGTTTCACTTCCATTTGTGAAATTTTCATGAGATTTGTTATTGTTGTTTTTATGTTAATCCCTAGTACATGGCCTGCTGTAAACACTCAGGACACCCAGGATATGGTCTTTGCTGTTTGATTTTCCTCATCCCCAGTCTCAAGGGGAAGCCAGGACAATGAGAACAGCCACTTGCCATCAGGAGTCACTGAAAGGGCCCCAGGATGGGATGGTGGGGAGATAAGAACCATGAGAGAAGTTGGCACAAAGGAGTTATGGGACAAAGGGTCCAAGATAGGCAGAAAAGAAAATGTTGCCAGTTGATGGGGAAGAAAGGAAGTCAGAGGGCTCAGACACTGTGGGGGACAGAACATCTCCATGTGCACTCTCATCTCTTGTAGTCAGCAACAGGTTTTCACAGGGAAGGCCCTACATCATCTGCTACCCTGAAAGATCTGGAGGTAAGAGGCTCTGGGCAGAGGTGCAGTGACCCTTCGGGTCAGCCCTCCAACCTCCTCCTCCAGGAGGGACTGGGTGCCCCTCTGCCAGCTGAGACAGCCCACACACCCCAGCCCTAATGATTGTTCTCTCTACCTCTCCCCCGACTCCTGCTCCACCTCCTCCTCTCTGCATGAACCTCAGAGCCCGTGCCAAGAACGAGCAGTAGTCCTGGATTCAAGGTCCGTAGAAATCAGTCAACTGAAGAACACCATCAAATCTTTGGTAAGAGTCCGGTGGGGTCCCCTGATTCCACGCTGCCAATCCTGGGCTCCAGTTTCCCCTTGGGGCCCTGAAGAAAGGGGCTGGGGGTCCCTGGTGCCCGGGACAAATAGGGAGCTTGGGTGCCCAGGCCTCACCTGGAGGGACCCCAGAGCATGCAGCATGGCTCTTCTTTTGCTGCCCTCTTTGCCGACTCTCTCCTCTCCAGACACCCCTGCTCGAGTCCTTGCTACACACGCCCTGGGGTTGTTGCCTCTTGGGGAAGTGCTAGCCTGACTGGTTGTCAAGGGCCCCGTATTTCTGCCATGACTCAGTCCCTAATTTGCTCTTTGATTCTGGACAAGCCACCTCTCCTTTTTGGGCTCGTGTTTCCAGAGGAGGTAGTGAGTATCAAAGGTCTCTGTTAGCTCTCGAGTCTGAGATTTAAAGGCCCCCGAGAATGGAAACCTCAGGGCTAAGGGCTCCTGTCTGTCCTTTTCTATCCTATATCTGCTGTGAAGAACCGTACCTGGCCCATACGTGCTCAGTAGGTGTTTATTGAATGAACCCACTTTTCTAAATCACAAGCTGCCAGAAGGAGGGGCCTTTCTGAAACTCCATCTCTAGAGGTTTATGTTGCTGTCCTCTCAAGAGATTCCAGATTCAGACTTTGAGTTCTGTGGCTGTGGGCAAAAGCCCACAAAGACCCAAATCCTCTGTCCTTGGGAGCTTGAGGAGAGTTTACCAGTTCGTGTTCCCATTATGTCTGAGAACTTTGCCTTTAAAATCCATTCCTGGCCCCTGCCTACCGCTTCCTGGTCTGGGGAATAGAGTTGAGGGGGCCACCCTCCATCACCTTATTTGACTCTCCCCACAGAAACAACAGAAGAAACAAGTGGAACATCAGCTGGAAGAAGTAACGTGATTTCGTTTCCTTGCAACATGACTGCTGGAAGAAGGCTCACCCTTCAGATTCCACCCCATCCCCTCAGGGCCCCGATAACCTGGTCCCATGGGTGGGCCTGTCCTGGGGCATTGGTGGCATTCTGGGGGCATGTCTCTTGCTGTGCCATCTCTGCCTCCCCCTGGTAAGAGCTCTGTCTTCCTCTTCCTACAGGAAAAGAAAGCAAACATCAAGAAACAGAAAGCCAAAAGGGTGCTAGAGGTGAGTGGAGGGTGTGCAGTTTCCTCCTGTCCTCCGGAGAAGGTTTCTTTCCTTCTCTTTCAGCACTTGCTTGGCTTTTCTCCCAAAGGTTCAAATCCAGACATTGAACATACAGAAAGAGGAACTAAATACGGACCTGTACCACATGAAACGTTCTCTCAGATACTTTGAAGGTGGGAATCTGGGCACCCTGTCATCCTTCAACCTGGCACTTTGACAGGTCTTCAGGGGGAGTCCTTTGGGCCCCATCTCAACTCTCTCATTACAGAAAAGTCCAAGGATCTGGCTGTCCGCCTGCAACATTCATTGCAGCGTAAAGGAGAGTTAGAGAGTGTTCTCTCTGATGTCATGGCCACACAGAAGAAGAAGGCAAACCAGGTGAGTCCAACCACCTGCCCCATCCCCTGGGAGTCTGCCTTTGCAGATGGAGGAGTGAGCCTAAAGGTCCCTTCTGCAGGATGGCGTGTCCTGCCCAGAAGGCAGCATGGCCATTTCTTGCTACTTTTTTGTATGGTTTTTAGTGGCAGCCTGGGGCTGAGTCAGCTGCTGTGGGTGAGTTGGGGGTCACTGTGTGGAGTGAGCACTGGACGCAGAGCTTGGAGGCCAAGTGCCTGCCCCGCCCTTACCTGGCTGTGGTCTTGGGCAAGTCCTAGGTGGGGTATTGGGTACTTGTACTGTGAAGGTACAGAAGAGTACCTTTAGTATGTTACCATTTCTGTAGAAAGAGGAAACGTGTGCATGTGTGTGTGTGTGTGTGTGTGTGTGTGTACATACTATGATAATATACATAAAACATGTCTGCAAGGGTTCATAAAAAATTCAGGAGAGAGCAACAAGATGGCCGGGAGATACTTCCCTTCTGTACCTTCTGAGTTTTGGACTATGCAAATGTATCATCCTTTCAAAAAGTGAACAAAAGATTAATTTTCCCCTTCCTATCTGTGGTTGTGAGGATTAAATGGGATTGCTAGCATGGTATCTGGTGAAGCACTCCATAAAAGTTCAAACAGTGGTAATAATAACGGTAATAACAATAGCAATATTATCTGATCTCTCTGGGCCTCTGTTAGCCAGCTATAAATTCAATCTCATTCCCTGTCCGTTCCAACTTTACTGTGTTCTTTTAAAAACCAGACCATGGGCTTGGAAATGCCATGATCTTTACTGACCGAGTTGTATATTGGGCCTAGCCCTAGCCCTGTTAAGGGGCACTGTGTGGAAATGCCCAGGCTCTCCAGATTGAAACTTCTCACTCTTTGCCATCCAGTTGTCCAGCCCCAGTAAAGCAGGTACGGAGTGGAAGTTAGAGCAGTCCATGCGGGAGGAGGCACTACTGAAAGTGCAGCTGACACAGGTGAGGTTTTCTGAGGGAGTTATGTGGAAGGAAGATGACCCCAGGTGGCCAGGAGCAGGTGAGGACCAGTGACAGCCCTTCCTAACTTCTGTGCCCATTCTTGCAGTTGAAGGAGTCATTTCAACAACTCCAATTAGAAAGACATGAATATGCTGAACATCTAAAAGGAGAGAGGGCCCGGTGGCAGCAGAGGATGAGAAAAATGTCGCAGGAGGTGAGATCTGACCCTTCAGCCCCCCCACATTAGATAGGTCACTGGATCTTTCTGGTCATCTGTAAAATGGGAATAGTACAGCCAGAGGTGGTCATGGGTCTGGGCTTTGTGGAGGTGGGGGCAGAGAGGGAGAGGGCAGCCTGTCCAGCCTCCAGCCCCTCTCTCCAGGGCCCTTTCCCCTTGTGCTTTGGGCAGATTTGCACATTAAAGAAAGAGAAGCAGCAAGATATGCGTCGGGTAGAGAAGCTGGAGAGGAGCTTGTCCAAACTCAAAAACCAGATGGGTAAGATGGGGCTGGCATGACCTGGGAGCAGGACTGGCATCAGAGGGCTGTGAGGGTGGCTTAGAGTGCCCCAGGGAGGTGGGTGGATGGAAGGGCTTTGAGGCAGAGGGAAAGAGGTCTGTGCCAGGAGACGGCAAGTCTTGTCATCTCAATGAGCCTCAGTGTCCCCATCAGCAAAGAGGGCCCGTTGTCAGCCACCCGCAGTGCTCTTTCTCTGAAAGTGCTCTGGAAGACTGGCTACCATCTGGGTGTGAGGAATCATTAGCAGTGAGGCCAAGTTTGAGGAGCCTGAGAGGAGCTGTGGACCAAGAGGAGGTTTTTTCTTTTCCGAGAATCCAGAGGCCCTTATTATCTGCTTCCTTTCTCAGCTGAACCCTTGCCCCCGGAGCCCCCAGCAGTGCCCTCTGAGGTGGAGCTGCAGCACCTGAGGAAGGAACTAGAGAGAGTGGCAGGAGCGCTCCAGGCCCAGGTCAAAAACAATCAGCGCATAAGTCTCCTGAACCGGGGACAAGAAGAGAGGATTCGGGAGCAGGAAGAGAGGCTTCGGAAGCAGGAAGAGAGGATTCAGGAGCAGCACAAGAGCCTTCAGCAGCTGGCCAAGCCACAGAGCGTCTTCGAGGAGCCAGTGCGTTGCCCCAGCTGGGGAGCCTGCCCTCCTCCCTAGCCCTCCGGGCCTTTGTTTCCCCACCTCTAAAATGGGGCAGTGTAGCCCTCACATGAAATGTTACTTCTAAAGGCACCTGTGAGCCAGGTGGCTGTGGGAGAGAGGGGGTGATTTTTCTAACCTGTCTCCAGCCTTCCCAGTGCCATGGGAGGCAGACACCAAGTTCTGGGGTCTCCAGCTGCAGTGGGTGGCTGCTGATTGCTTCTCTCTGTCCAGAACAATGAGAACAAGAGCGCACTGCAGTTGGAGCAGCAAGTAAAGGAGCTACAGGAGAAGCTTGGTGAGGTGAAGGAGTCGGAAACCTCCACCCCATCCAAGAAGGGCTGGGAGGCGGGCAGCAGCCTCTGGGGAGGGGAGGTACCAGGCCAGAGGCAGCTTCCAGCCTGGGGGCTGGTGACCACAGCACCCCCCAGGGCAGTCCTGTTTCTTGCTTCCTGCCTCTGACTTTTAAAGGTGGGTAGCCCTGGGCTCCTCTCAGGTCTGGACATCATCATCCTAGCTAGAGGCATGGAGCCCCCAATCACAGGGGAAGAGACAGTGGTATAACAGGCTCCTTATGCCAGGTGCAGTGGCTCATGCCTATAATCCCAGCACTTTGGGAGGCTGAGGCAGGAGAATCACTTGAGGTCGGGAGTTTGAGATCAGCCTGGCCAATGTGGTAAAACCTCATCTCTACTAAAATTACAAAAAAAAAAAAAAAAAAAAATTAGCAGGACATTGTGGCACATGACTGTAATTCCACCTACTCGGGAGGCTGAGGCACGAGAATTGCTTCAACCCAGGAGGTGGAGGTTGCAGTGAGCTGAGATTGCACCACTGCACTCCAGCCTGGGCCACAGAGTGACACTCTTGTCTGAAAACAAAACAAAAAGACTCCTTAGATTAAAACTGGATTCCAGCCTCGGTTCCACTGGTCACCATTCAAGTACTTTGCATCTCTAAGTCTCTGTTTCTTTAACTTCAAAGGGAAGTTAGCATTTTCCTTACAGAGGTGCTGAGGATTAAATGAGAAGAGGGTATGAGATTTGAGGCTGGGGAAGGAGGCATGGGGTTCTAGGAAAGGGAGGCAGTCACTTAGGCCTGGAGTAAGGGGACAGGGGCCTGGGCAGCTGACAGAGCCCCACAGTGCCCTCGCTACCCTATTAATGGGCCCAGAATCTGGAAACCAGCCACCACGTGCCCTCACACCCAGGGTCTTCCTGCAGGTGGAGCTGAAGAGCCAAGAGGCTCAGAGTCTGCAGCAGCAGCCAGACCATTACCTGGGTCACCTGCAGCAGTACGTGGCCACCTATCAGCAGCAGGTGGCCGCCTATCAGCAGCTGACCTGTGAGAAGGAGGCGCTGTACAGGCAGTGACTGCAGCAGACCCAGCTAATGAACCAGCTGCAGCAGCAGGAAGCTTGGGGCAAAGCAGTGGCTGACATGGCCTGCCAAAAGTTGCAGGAGACCCAGGGGAGGGAGCTGCGGAGGATGGGGCCGTGAGGGGGACGACCTGGCAAACTCCATCCCTTCTCACTCTTTCCTGGCCCCTTAGGAGCACCTGGAAGCTGCCAGCCAGCAGAACCAGCAGCTAACAGCCCAGCTGAGCCTCATGGCTCTCCCTGGGGAAGGTACGGGAGACCGCTCAGAGGAAGAGGAGAGAGCCCCAGGAGGAAGGGGGGACTGCTAGCAGCATAGGATTGAGGAGTTGGAAGAGACCTTTAGAACAGCTGGTCATTATGCCGACCGGGTGCCTGCACTAAGTTGGGCATCAGTGTGGTGACCTCCTGTGAGCGGGGGGTCACCAAGTTGCCTAAGGATGGCTGAACTGGCCAAGGTCAGAAAGGGAGCAGGTCAGAACTCCCACATCGACCAGTAGTGGGAATGTGCCTGGGCGGAATAGCAAGATCTTGATTCTTAAAAGTAAAAATAAAGAACAACAGCTCATTCCTCTCTGGGGAGGGGCTGGCTCAGGATTACACAGTGAGGGTGGAGGTAGAGGTGGGCCCACAGTACCTCCCTTGTTGGGTTGTCTGAAGACCCCTCTGGCCACCCCCCACAGGACACGGAGGAGAACATCTGGACAGTGAGGGGGAGGAGGCACCTCAGCCCATGCCGAGTGTCCCAGAGGACCTGGAGAGCAGGGAGGCCATGGTGAGCCTGACTCCCCCTGCACCCATTTTGCCACCTTTCTCTGTGGTCCCTCCAAGACCCCTTTATGCTCTTCGTTTCCCTGCCTTCTGATTTCTCTGGACCCTCACCCCTTCCGAGAGCCAGTGGTCAGACACCATTTCACCTGTGGCCAACAGGTGCACTCTCTGAGGCCCCAAGGGAAGGGGCTGCGCTCCACCTCTCTGCCCCATTTCTTCTGTGTATGCCCCTAGAAGAATGCTCACATCTTGCCCTCAGGTGGCATTTTTCAAGTCCGCTGGAGCTAGTGCCCAGGAGAAGCAGGCACAGTTACAAGAGCAGGTGAAAGAGCAGAGGGTATGCTGCCAGCGCCTGGCTCACCCGGTGGCCTCGGCCCAGAAGGAGCCAGAGGCAGCCAGAGGCCCTGGAGCCCCAGGGCCTGGGGGCGAGTCTGTGAGTGGGGAGACCCACTGGGCCCTGCAGGAAGTCACGGAGAAGCTGGCCCATGGCAGGACTCACCTCCACCTTCTCCATGACTTGAAAATGCCACCTGAGGGCAGGTCGCTGCCGAGATGTGACTGCAATATTTTGGCTCCAGAGCAGCTTTATGGACCACCTGGAGGAGAAGGCAGACCTGAGTGAGCTGGTGAAGAAAAAAGAACTCTGCTTCATCCACCACTGGCGAGAGAGATGCCATCAGTGAGTGGGAGGCCAGGGCACGGCAGGGGGAGCTACAGGGCCGTTGGAGGGGCCCCAGCGTATGAGCCCTGTCCTCCCGCAGGAAAACCCATCACCTTTTATCAGAACCAGGGGGCCGTGCCAAAGATGCAGCACTGGGAGGAGGACACCATCAGGCTGGAGCTCAGGGAGGAGATGAAGGTAGGGTGTGCAACATCTCTGTGGGGGTGGGGGTGGGGGTGGGTGTGAGGGTGGGCGCAGGCAGCGGCATGGCAGCTGAGCACCCCTCCCTCCAGGTGAAGCTGCTGGAGCTGCAGCAGATGGTATTGCGGCTTACAGCAACTACAACAATGGGCACAGAAAATTCCTGGCCGCTGCCCACAACCCTGCTGATGAGCCCGGTCCAGGAGCCCCAGCCCCCCAGGAGCTTGGGGCTGCAGACAAGCATGGTGGTGAGTAGAGCCCTCAGGTGGGGTGGGCAGGCAGGAAGAGGGGGCTCCCACTGTGCTCAGATCCCTGCCTCCCTCTCTCCAAAGATCTTTGTGAGGTGAGCCTCACCTCCTCTGCCCAAGGAGAGGCCAGGGAGGATCCTCTCCTTGACAAGCCTACTGCACAGCCGATCGTGCAGGACCACCAGGAGCACCCAGGCTTGGGCAGCAACTGCTGTGTGCCATTCTTTTGCTGGGCTTGGCTGCCAAGAAGAAGGAGATAAACATCACCATCATCAAACAGCTGCTCAAGAAATTTTTAAATAAGAAACCAAGTTATGGGGTTAATCTCCTACACAATTCATTTACTTCCTTTGAATGTTAGAGTCACTCATGATTATTTGTGTTTCTAATTTATAGTTTAAGTTTATTTATAAAAAGTTAAAAGAGAGTGGGTGTCTGTGGCTCTCACTGATGTTCACTCTGGCATCCTTTTAGCATTTTTCTTTTTTAATTTCATAATTGTAGGTCATTAGCATGCATATCGAGTTTGCCCTTACGTGGTGGGAGTTCAAACACACAAAGACCCACTCTTTGCCCAAAACTGTTCTCGCTGGTTTGGAATAGGCTGCCATGCTTTTTTAATGTTATTGCAGCATGTATATTCACTACAGAATTCAGACAAAATTTGCCTATGTTCTGCTGTTGTTTGATCTAATCTTAATCACAGTGAGCTCTTCGTTAGCTCAATATGTAGTTTGCCCCCAAGTGTGCACTGTTTATTACTTTGTAATATGCCACTATGAGTACTGACATTTAGAGTTGTTTAAAGGCCAAGAACTGGAAACAGCCTTTCCTCCATTTTCTGTGTATTGGTGATGGGAGTGATAACCTTTTGGGGGAGCTTTTTAAATCTCACAGAAGAGGAAAGTGGCCTCCTCTGGCAGGTATGTGCAGGATAGAGTGTGTTTCATCTGTTCCGGTGCCAGGAATTAGCAGTGTATTATGATGGTTCCCTTAGGATTTCTATGTGCTCTGGGCTCATGAAGATATTGCATCATGAGCTGCAGCAGTTGCACTCTTTTTGGATGACCTAAAAAGGGCTTATTTCTGAGGAATGAAAGGTTCCCATCGTTGACTGTGGATGTGGAAAACCTTTCCTAGCTTAGAGCATTTGTATCTACAATACATTTTAAAGTCAGAGTTCATGTTACCTGTTTTAATCACATGACTACATGTCCCAGTACACAAAAGGGCACTGGTTGGCATTCTTCTTAATGTATTTAGTGAAGATCATAACAAATCCTTTATGAGTTCAAACGTCCCTGGAACAGGCATACAGGCTCTAGTCAAGAATGAATTAGAGTGAAGGAAAGCTGTGTGACACCTGGAATTCCTCTCTGTTCACGGATATTCTTTGAGGCTTGAAGATTGATTTTACCATCTAGACCTCTTTGGCTAATACCTATTCTTCAACCACCTTGGTTACTCTGACATAGGAATTTACTTCCTTTTCCTTGAATGGAAAACACTTTAAAAAATAATAGAAACATTATTATAAACTAATATATGTGAGATACTTAGTTGAAACAAAAAGGAGTTTTAGTAGACGGTATTATACTATCTTTGAAAATCAAGGAGAAGTTTATGAAACTTAAAATGTGTACAAACTGCAGTGCAATCTACTGTTCGTGAATGTCAATGTATTATCAGGAAACGTGTCTATACAATCACAGAGTTATATTTTCTCACAGACTTCTTTACAAAGTGAAATATGTTTTTGTACCTCTGGGTTTCTGTTCGGGACATATTTTGTGCAATATTTATGTGATTGTGCCTATGCATGATGAATGAATGCATTTCAGTTATATATTGCCTAAATCGTAACTTGATGATGCTTGGGAAAGACTCAACAGTTAAAACTTCATGAAGTTCTAATGTCTGTGTTCCAAAACACATCACATTGTTAGGATGCAGGGAGATAGGTGTGTGTGCTCCCTGCGGTGGGGATTTCTAGTTACTAGATCATCTCCATTTTTAGCATTTGGCATCCTCATGATACTTCTATAAATATGACATTAACAGGAGAGCAACAATACGATTTTACCGATGGAATAACAGATTTGCTGGCATTCACTGAAAGAGTGCAAATATTCGGTCCTTGTGACTTCAACTGACTCTTCCAAATTTTATGAATGTATCAATGTATTAGATAAACCCAGTTTCAGAATGATAAAGAAAAAATGTTAGACCAAATAATGCGGCTAATTAACAGTGGTACGATTTGTAGCCCGTGGGTTTAAAATGCACTTAAAGTCCTGTTCTCGCCTTTTATTTTCTGAACTTGCCGCTTTTGCATTCTTTGAGTTCAGTTTAAAGACGGTTACTTTAAGAGCATTTTAAACCCTCGGGCTAGAAATCGGACCACTGTTAATCAGCCACATTATTTGGTCTAACGTTTTTTCTTTTATCATTCTGAAACTGGGTTTATCTAATACATTGATAAATTATTTCAAAGGTACTTTTATCGTTGAAATCACTTCACTTTTACCCTGATAAATATCAGTGACTAGGAATGACCTTCGGATAGCGTTTAGCATCTGTAACCAATCTGACAATAATGTGTTCATGAGGTGCCTATGGATTAAATCACACACTGGCATATTTAAGCTGAAGGTCAGTCTGGAAAATAAATTTACTATATTGACTGAAATACCACTCTTTGTGTAGGTATTTGTCATATATTTAAGAAAAAGCTAAAAAGAATGGAAATTGTATGACAATAACTTAAGTCTTTCTCCAAAGTGCATGCAGTCTTTTGCGATACCTCATTCAGCCGAGTATTTGTGCTCTTCCTCATTCGGTATAAGGCAGCTTTCAGTTTGCTTAGAAGGCAACATTGGAATGTTAGAGTTCATCAGAAACACAGAATTTTAAACTGTGAGTTCCACTGAATACATTTTAATTTCTGTAGGAAGAATCAAAATACCTATTTAAAGATGGCAATATATAATAATCATTTTAAAAGTATTTGATTAAACCTGATAATTTTCCAGAAATGAAAAAAAAAATCAGCTCTAAAACCAAAGCTGATTTTAGAAAATTTGAAAATGTAAATCAGCCCTATCCATAATATAGTTTCTCTAAAACTTAATTTTAAAGAGTCGTTTTAAAATAATATAACTATTAAAATATGTAACTGCTATCTTAATGTTCTGAAATAATTTAAAACATTTTAAAATATGAATACTGTAGTATAAAAGAAAGAAACAGTGGGAACGAAAAGCAGAGAAAGAAATGCCAATTCCAGTCCAAAGTTTTATTTGCCAAGTTTTCTTAGAATGAATTTTACCAGTTTATGAATTATTGTAAACAGAATGTGTAATGGAAATACTGAAAGATTTTTCCCTAGAGTGGCCTTATTGACTGCTGGTGTGATGCCACTGTAATGTAATAAATTATTAAGTTGTTTGAATGTGTTGTTTTTGCCTTAAAATTTTATTTTGCGTTTCTTGAAAACTATAGTATTAAAGGTATTGATACTGTGCAAATGCTGGGCATGCTTGGCATGAGATAATGTGTTTCATTTTTACAAAGTTGTAATATAACTATGCAAGTGTTTATTAAAAACCAAAATAAAAAAGTTATGGGTTTATTAAAAAACTTTTATTAAAGTTTTATAAAAAGTTATTTTATTAAATAACTTTATTTAAAAAAGTTATGGGGTGAAAAAGTTATGGGATAAAAATGTAAAAAAGTTGTGGCAAAAAAACTTCTGGGAAAAAAGTAGAAAAAAGTTTTATGAAAAGTTACAAAAAAAGTTATGAAAAATAAGTTATGGGATTTTTTTAAAAAGTCATGGAATAAAAATAAAAATTAAAAGCAGGCCCCTGTCAGCAAAGCCTGGAGAAGTGGGGCTGGAGTCTCCACCGCCACCATGTCCCTACCACCTCTTCCCAGGCACCCCTTTACAATTAGGGTAGCAGCACAAGACCTCTGTCTAATGGGGAAAGACAAACAGACCATTTGCCACCTTGAGCAGGGCTGAGTCCCTAAATTTCTGGATGATGATGATGATTGTTATTTAAGAGCCAGAGGCTGGTGGAGTTGGTTTGTTTGGAGGAGGCCTGATGGTCCCCTTACTCTCACCATGGCAACGTTTCCCTCAGGGGGGCTCCCATCTTCTTATTCAGAGAGGTAGCTGAGGCCGGAAAGCGGGGCTAACTGTGGACCAGCGAGGGCATGGGCTGCTGGGGTGGCCCACCTTCCCCGGTGTACATACTGTGTCTGTGTAACATTTTGTATATTCCAGAGGGTAGGGCTGCCCCTGTATCATACCTAGCAGAGGTTGGAGCTGGCACATGGGGAGGAGGTTCTAATAATTATTTGTGGCTGGGAAACTTATTTATTGCTAGCGTAGGACAGAGGAAGGAGGCGGGGATGGGGTCGTGGCTCTCTGGTGGTATGATCACAGCTTACTGCAACCTCCAACTCTTAGGCTCAAGTGATCCTCCCACCTCAGCCTCCCAGGTAGCTGGGAGTATAAGCATGCACTACTATGCCTGGCTAATTTTTAAATTTTTTTGTAGAGAAAAGGTCTTACTATGTTGCCAATGCTAGTCTTGAACTCCTGGCCTCAAGCAATTCTCCCATCTTGGCCTCCCAAAGCACTGGGATTACAGGCACGAGACATTGCTCCTGTCCATTAGGTTTTCTCTTTATTACTGTTTTGTTGTTGTGGTTGTTGTTTTGTTTTGTTTTGTTTTGTTTTTTGACAGAGTCTTGGTCTGTTGCCCAGGCTGGAGTGCCGTGGTGTGATCTCGGCTCACGGCAACCTCTGCCTCCTGGTTCAAGCAATTCTCATGCCTCAGTCTCTCGAGTGTCTGGGGTTACAGGCATGAGCCACTGCGCCCCTGGCTAATTTTTGAATTTTTAGTTGAGACAGAGTTTTGCCGTGTTGGCCAGATTGGTCTTGAACTCCTGCCTCAAACAATCCGCCCTCCTCAGCCTCCCAAAGTGCTGGGATTACAGGGGTGAGCCACTGCTCCTGGCTAAGATCCCATCTCTATTTAAATAAAAAAAGAAAATTCAGAGCATGTGGAATACAGAACACCAAAGTCCAAAGTTATTTACCTCTCTGAGGTAATCTGTGTAAACAATTTGAAATATATCTTTTCAAGTTCATGCTTGCTATGCATATACATACATATACACACATACGTTGACATAGTCCCCCTTCCCTGCTGTCATGCTATTAGAGTCTTCTTTTTTTTGTAGAAATTGGACCAACTCTATGTTCTTTGCTGGCCCATATTTCTCCTATTCAGTGATGTGTTACAAATGTGTGTTTAAGTCAATGTATGCAACTCTTCAATATCATTTTAAAAGGTTAAATATACGATCATATGAAGGCATTAGAATTTATTCCAACAGTTCCATTTTGCACATTTAATAATTTCCATTGGTTTGCCAGGGAGAACATTCTCATGCCATGGCTAAATCCTTTTGTACGGCCATCCTTAACTATTCCCTGAAGATAAACTTTTAAATAAAGTTGCTAGATGAGTCTCATTTCTTAAAAAGTTCTTTTTTGGTAGTTTATATGTAACACTGTAGTTTTATATGTACTTGCAAATAGCTATAGTGCCAGTAAAAAATGTGATAAAATTAAACTCACGTATGCCAAATATATTTTGATTTAGTGCTTCATTAAGTGCATGATTACAGTCTCTATATCTTTTGATTTACCTTTCTACCTTTACAATTTTCAGCCCAGATACTTAGAGGTCACATAGTAAATTAAGGTTTTCTTTTTATAATAATCTCCATCTTTCTAAATTTGGTGCGTCACAGTAAGTTATTTTTCGGTTGTTGAAAGCTGTGGCTCTGTTCTAAATTTGAGCCCAGAAATCATGCCACTTACAAAATATGCTTTGTCTTCCAACATCAGAGTGTCTGGTAGAAGGTGACTGTTCTTGGAATTTTAAAAATCTAAACAGGACAAGACAAGAATATGGAAAATATTTCTGTTTCTGATAATATGGCTGAGTAGGTACTCTGCAAAGCCTCTGTCATAAAATAGACATTCTGGATAGTCCTTGCAAAGACATATTTGATCTTGCCAAACAAAAAAAAAATATCCAGAATCTCTAAGAATGAAGATGAAGTGAAAATCAGAAGGGCTACTACGAGAATAATGGGGAAGCAGCCCCAGTTATCAAGGGATGTTTGCATGTGTTCAATAAAAAGTTTCAAACCTAAAAAAAGTTAAGAAAAATAATATAACTGCCCTACATACATACATCATCAACAATTTTTCATTCATGGCATGGCCAGTTTTTGTTTTGTATTTTTTTTTAAAGGTGGGCTTTTGCTGTGGTTGCCCAGGCTGGAGTGCAGTGGCATGATCTTGACTTACTGAAACTTCTGCCTCCCAGGTTCAAGCAATTCTCCTGCCTCAGCCTCCTGAGTAGCTGGGATTACAGGCACCCGTCACAACATCCGGCTAATTTTTGTATTTTTAGTAGAGATAGGGTTTCACCACGTTGGCCAGGCTGGTCTTGAACTCCTGACATCAGGTGATTTGCCCACCTCGGCCTCCCAAAGTGCTGGGATTACAGGCGTGAGCCACCACACCTGGCCACATCTTGTTTTGTTCCATTTGTATTCCCACTTCATTTATATACATTCCTTCTTCCTCTGAATTATTTTGAAGTAAAACCTATATATCATATCATTTTTAAAATTACCTTATATGTATCTGTAGAAGACAAGGAATTTTTAAAAATATACTCATAACGCCATTAAATATCAAAAAATTAATACTTTCTGAAAATAGCCACAAATCCAGAGTTCACATTTTCTTGACTTTCTCATAAGTGATTTTTTCTAGGTTATCTATTTCAATCAGATACCTGTTTGCTCATATTTACATTCCTAACTGAACAATGTCGGAAGAGGTACTTAAACCTGACATAAAACACAAATGAGCTTATGACCAAATGCTTAGTGCAAGAAAAAACTTCACACTGTAAGATGAGTCCCTCCAAATACAGAAAGGACCAGTATTTTAAGAGGTATGTTAACTAAAATGTTGCAGTGTATGGAGCAGAGCAGGAAGAACCTTTAAGTCTGAAAAGTACAAGTAAATTTCATAGTTTCCCTGGTCCTTCCACAACAACCTCTGGCATCTGTTTTTTCTACAATGGAGGTAACAGTAGCTCTTTCAGAGCAGGAAAAGGCTTACAGCAGTGCTAGAAGAGGGTGGTGGCTATATACAGTGTAGCTATTTGTATATTGTAACAAACCAACTTTTTTTTTTTTTTTTTTTTTTTTTTTTTTTTAGTCAATAGTAGATTTCTTTTGGAAAAATAGCAGCCTCCTGTCTGGGGACACCTGCAGTTCCACTAAGTGAACATTGGTGTCTGCTCACCTTTGCCTCTATTTCTCTCAATATACTGTCAAGCTGTTCCCTGATTTAGCAATTTTATATACTTTCTTTTTCTTTATTTTTTTTTCCTTTCCCTTTTCCTGAGACACAGTCCCGCTCTGTCGCCCAGTCTGGACTGCAGCAGCGCCAACATGGCTCACTGCCACCTTCACCCCCTGGCTGAAGCAATCCTCCTACATCAGCCTTCAGAGTAGCTGGGACTACCCGCCGGGCCCACCAGGCCAGGCTAATCTTTATGGTTTTTGTTTTGTTTTTCCATTAAGAGACCTGGTGTCGGGTCAGGCGCAGTGACTCATGCCTGCAATCCCAGCACCCCAGAAGGCGGAGTCCGGCAGATCACCTGAGGTGAGGAGCAGGAGACCAGCCCGAGTAACATGGAGAAACCCAGTCTCTACCAAAAAAATAAAAAAATAAAAAACTAACTTGGCATGGTGGCTCACGCCTGCAATCCCAGCCACTCAGGAGGCTAAGGCAGGAGGACCACCCAAACCCGGGAGATGGAGGCCGCAGGGAGCCGAGACCGTGCCACTGCACTCCAGCCTGGGCAACAAGAGTGAAACTCTGCCTCAAAAAAAAAAAAAAAAAAAAGAGACCGGTTTCACCACGTTGCCCAGGCCGGTCTGGAACTCCTAGGCTCAAGTGATCCTCAGTGCTCGGCCGTCCAAAGTCCCAGCTGGGATCACAAGCGTGAGCCACCAGGCCAGGCCAATCTATTCCTTTCTGATTAATAAATTGGGCCGGTCACGGTGGCTCACGCCTGGAATCGCACCACCCCGGGAGGCCGAGGCGGGTGGATAACCTGAGGTCGGGAGTTTGAGACCAGCCTGACCAATGTGGAGAATACTCGTCTATACTAAAAAAAAAAAATAAAAAAATACAAAGTTAGCAGGTATGGTGGTTCACACCTGCAATCCCAGCCACTCGGGAGGCTGAGGCAGGAGAACCACCCAAACCCAGGAGGCAGAGGCCCAGTGAGCTGAGTCCACGCCACTGCACTCCAGCCTGGGCAACAAGAGCGAAACTCTACCTCAAAAAAAAAAAAAAAAAAAAAAAAAAACAAAACCCAAAGCGACCGGGTTTCACCGTGTTGCCCAGGCTGGTCTGGAACTCCTAGGCTCAAGCGATCCGCCGCTCTCGGCCGTCCAAATTCCTGGGATCACAAGCATGAGCCACCACTCCAGGCCAATCTATTCCTTTCTAATTAATAAATTGGGCCAGGAACGGTGACTCAAGCCTGCAATCCCAGCACCCAGGGAGGCCGAGGCGGGCGGATCACCTGAGGTCGGGAGTCTGAGATCAGCCTGACAAACATGAAGAAACCCCGTCTCTACCAAAAAAAAAAAAAAAAAAAAAAAAAAAAAAAAGCCGGGCATAGGGGCTCACACCTGCAATCCCAGCCACTTGGGAAGCTGAGGCAGGAAAACCAACCAAACCTGGAGGCGGAGGCCACAGGCAGCCGAAACCACGCCACTGCACTCCAGCCAGTCAACAAGAGCGAAATTCTGTCTCAAAAAAAAAAAAAAAAAAAAAAAGAGACCAAGTTTCATCATGTTGCCCAGGCCAGTCTGGAACTCCTAGTCTCAAGTGATCCCCCACGCTCAGCCATACAAAGTCCTGGGATCAATCGTGAGCCACCACGCCAGGCCGATCAGTTGCTTTATGATTAATAAATTGGGACTTGCGCAGTGGCTCACGCCTGAAATCCCAGCACCCCTAGAGGCCGAGGCGGGCAGATAACCTGAGGTCGGGAGTTTGAGACCAGCCTGACCAACATGGAGAAACCCCATCTCCACCAAAAAAATAAAAAAAGAGCCGAGCATGATGGCTCACGCCTGCAATCCCAGCCACTAGGGAGGCTGTGGCAGGAGAACCACCCAAACCGGGGAGGCAGAGGCCCGGCGAGGTGAGTCCACACCACTGCACTCCAGCCTGGGCAACAAGAGCGGAACTCCGCCTCAAAAAAAAACAAAAACAAAAAACAAACAAAAAAAGTGACCCGGTTTCACCATGTTGCCCAGGCTGGTCTGGAACTCCTAGGCTCAAGGGATCCAACACGCTCGGCTGTCCAAATTCTTGGGATCACAAGCGTGAGCCACCACACCAGGCCGATCTATTCTTTTCTGATTAATAAATTGGGCTGGGTGCGGTGGCTCACACCTGCAATCCCAGCACCCCGGTGGCTCATGCTTACAATCCTGTAGCAGGATTTTTAAGGAATTAGAGAGACTGATGGGGTTTAGGAGGTTATTAATTAATTATTTACGTGCATTGGCCCAGTCGGATTAACATTTAAAGCACTGAGTTCTGAACAAGACTTACCTTTTAAGCATTTTATGGGGTGGGGGTAGATCTGTGCAGGGTGAAGCATATGATAGAAGTGAGAAACAAAGATAATTGTTCAATTGAATCATGCATTATATTATTTTTTCCTTTTTTAGGAAAAATATGTTTTGTAACTTGAGTTTGTTTAGTGACCTTGCAGTTGTACAGTTAGGGAATTAGGGTTTTTATAATGCCCGGGAAGGGAGGAGAGATAAGGCTCACTGCCATAGAAAAGCAGGAGGTAGTAGTTTTTTTTGAAGGACTCTAGCTCTTCTCTTTCTCAGGGGGAATTGGGTTTTTTTACATACAACTGAGTTTTTGTTTACACATTTTTAAATTTCTTTTAATTCCTGTTCCCATCCCAGCACCCTGAGAGGACGAGGCAGGCAGATAACCTGAGGTCGGGAGTTTGAGACCAGCCCCACGAACATGAAGCCCCATCTCCACCAAAAAAAATAAATAAATAAATTAGCCGGGCATGGTGGCTCAGCCTGCAGTCCCAGCCACTCGGGAGGCTGAGGCAGGAATATTTTCTCCCTCCCTTAGATAAAAGATAGCATATACCATTGTGCACTTTGTTTTTTGACCTGGGGTGGGGTCTCACTCTGTCACTGAGGCTGGAGTACAGTGGTGTGATCTTGGCTCAATGAAACCTCTGCCTCCTAGACTCAAGCTGTCTTCCCACCCCAGCCTCCAGGGTAGCTGGAACCACAGGTGTGTGCCACCACACCCGGCTATTTTTTTTGTATTTTTGGTAGTGACTGGGTTTTGCCATGCTGCCCAGGCTGATATCGGGCTCAGGCGATCCACCTGCCTCAGCCTCCCAGAGTGTTTTCAAAGTGCTGGGAATTACAGGTGTGAGCCACTGCATCCGGCCCATTTTGCACCTTTTTAAACTTCTCTTAGAGATCACTTCATATCTGTTTATAGAAATGTTCTTCATCTTTTTTAAAATTAGTACTTTGTAGTGTGGATGTACCACTTTTTTATTCAGTTAGGTTTTTTTTGACATTTGAGTGTTAGGTCTTTTTTTCTGACATTACAAGACTAAAATATGAAAAGAAAAACTAGAAAAAATTTCAAAGAAAATTTACCTGTCTTTGTGATCTTGTTGTAGGGAAACTTTTTGTAATGGTTAGTATCCAGGATATGAAAAATAGCCTAATAATGAAAAGAAAAACTTAAGACAAAATGGGCATAGGATGTGAAGAGTTACTTTATAGAGGAAGAAACTGGAATGGTCAGTAAACATGGGAAAAGATACTTGAACTAGAAACTCATGGATAAATTGAAAGTTAAAATGACTATTCTGTCATCTTCAGATTGGCGAAAATGTAAGTCTGACAGAATTGCTGGCAGAGATATGGGCCAGTGGAAACTCAGCTAGGTAAAGTGGAGCGCAATTTTATAATCTCTAATGAAGTTGAAGATGCACATACCTGAGCAAAAAAACACATGTGTACAAAGAAATTTGGAAAACCTGTTTATCACAGTAGTATTTGCAGTAACATAAGATGATGCAGAATGTAAGTTAACCAACAAGAGATTGGATAAACTCATATCCATGTGGTGGAATATTATACAGCAATTAAACATGAACATACTAGATTGAAAAGAATTAACATGGGTAAATCTCATGAAGAAAACTTTGGGTGAAAAAGGCAAGCTGCAGAAGGATATGGGCAATATAATAACATATGTGAGTAGTTCATTTCCATATTTATGTTGTTTCAAAGGAGTTATCGGCCAGGCACGAAGGCTCACACCTGTAATCCTGGCACTTTGGGAGGCTGAGGTGTATCGGGCAAAATTCACCCCCGATATTTCACATAGTTTCTTTTCTATTTTCCCTAAGTGTTGGCCGGTCTGAGAAATAAAGGAACAGAGTACAAAAGAGAAATTTTAAAGCTGGGTGTCTCGGGGAGACGTCACATGTTGGCAGGTTCCGTGATGCCCCCTGAGCCGTAAAACCAGCAAGTTTTTATTAGCAATTTTCAAAAGGGGAGGGAGTGTACGAATAGGGTGTGGGTCACAGAGATCACATGCTTCACAAGGTAGTAAGATATCACAAGGCAAATGGAGGCAGGGCGAGATCACAGGACCACAGGACCGGGGCGAAATTAAAATTGCTAATCAAGTTTCAGACACGCATTGTCATTGATAACATCTTATCGGGAAACAGGGTTTGAGAGCAGACAACTGGTCTGACCAAAATTTATTAGGCAGGAATTTCCTCGTCCTAATAAGACTGGGAGCGCTATGGGAGACCGGGGCTTATTTCATCCCTCTGCTGTGACTGTAAAAGACAGTCGTCCCCAAAGCAGCCATTTCAGAGGCCTCCCCTCAGGGATACATTCTCTTTCTCAGGGATGTTCCTTGCTGAGAAAAAGAACTCAACGATATGTCTCCCATTTGCTTTTCAAAGAAGAGAAATATGGCTCTGTTCCGCCCGGCTCACCGACAGTCAGAGTTTAAGATTATCTCTCTTGTTCCCTGAACATTGCTGTTATCCTGTTGTTTTTTCAAGGTGCCCAGATTTCATATTGTTCAAACACACATGTTCTACAAACAATTTGTGCAGTTAACGCAATCATCACAGAGTCCTGAGGTGACATACATCCTCCTCAGCTTATGAAGATGACGGGATTAAGAGATTAAAGACAGGCATAGGAAATCACAAGGGTATTGATTGGGGAAGTGATAAGTGTCCATGAAATCTTCACAATTTATGTTCAGAGACTGCAGTAAAGACAGGCGTAAGAAATTATAAAAGTATTAATTTGGGGAACTAATAAATCTCCATGAAATCTTCACAATTTATGTTCTTCTGCCATGGCTTCAGCTGGTCCCTCCGTTTGGGGTCCCTGACTTCCTGCAACAGAGGTGGGTGGATCACCTGAGGTCAGGAGTTTGAGACCAGCCTGGCCAACATGGTGAAACCTCATTTTGGGGTGTGGTGGTGCATGCCTGTAATCCCAGCTACTCGGTAGGCTGAGGCAGGATAATCACTCGAACCGGGGAGGCGGAGGTTGCAGTGAGCCCAGATTGCAACACTATACTCCAGCCTGGGTGACAGAGCAAGACTCCATCACCAAAAAAAAAAAAAAAAAAAAAAAAAAAAAAAAAATCTCTTAGTTTCTGATGGTTTTCCTGACCATATATGTGATGCCGAAGTTGCTTTTTTGTTGTCACATCTATTGGCATCAAGTGCTGAACTTTTCATGGAGTGGCAATTTTTTGGTAATAAAGCAACTTTCAAAATGAGTCTAAGTTTATCTCTGGAAAAGTTTGAAAGAATCAGTGAAGGTTCTTTTAGACAGTACCCATGTTCTACAGATCAGCCATTCTCTGTCTCTCAAATTTTCAGTAAACCTTTCCACATAGGATGTCAGCACGATTTTAATACGTTAAATATATGTAAAATAAGGCAAATTAAGACACAACTCCATCAACTCTCATCTGCTCTGGGCTTATTTCTCTTCATAGTACATAACACCATCTACGTCATATACTTATTGTCTGTTTCTATTAGAGCAGGGTATTTTTGTTAGTGCTGTTAGTGTGCTCAGCATATACAGCAACACTTGGCAGACAGTAGGTGCTGAATGAAAGAATGAAGAAGAACAGAACTCATTTTACTAAAGACATTTTGATATCACTTTTGGGATAGGATACTATACATTAAAGATGATACACTGTTTATTCCAGAATGGTCTTAGCTACAGTGTTCACAGCACAGTATTTGTAGACTTAATGCTGTTATCCATTCTACCTTCCTTTGAGGTTGGCATGAGAGTTGCCCGTCAGCGTATGTGTGCTCTTAGAAATCAGGGACAATACTATCATTTTAAGCTTCTTGGCAGTGACGTGTACTTAACTAGATGGTGAACTCATAGGTGGATGGGGAGTATCTAATGCTTTTGTATTCTGCTTTTCAGCAAATAAATATTACCGTACTGTGTGTGTAACATGAGCTATGTAAGTGTGTGATGATTAAATTAGAAGATAGGGTTCTCTGCAATCCAGTTTTCCAAGATAAATTTTTGCCTTGTTTTTGTTAGGTAATAAAGGTACCATATTGACTGTTGATATATGCCTACTTAGTCATGCTTCTCTTGCAGTAATCTTATCAAATTACCAGCTTTTTACTTTTTTAGAGAGACAGTCCTAGAATTGAGAATCCTCCTTTGCCTACATTCAAAATGAGACTATATTATGTGGGTAGGAAATTTCTGGTGACCTACTTTTAATTTTTAAATTTAAAAAAATATTAGCATAGTTTTATATTTAGAAAACAGTTGCAAAGGTGGTATAGAGAGTTTCTGTGTACCACACAGGCACCCAGTTTCCCTTGTTGCTAACATCTTACATGATTATGGTATATTTGTCACAACTAACAAATCAGTATTGATATATTATAACTAAACTGCATACTTTTAGGGGTAGTGACCCAGTTTTAAAGCTTATTTCCCACAATTTGTTAAAAATGACAATCAGTATTGAGTGCCCATGGGTGGTGGCTTCCTGATTCTTCAAAGAAACTGAGTAATTTTGTAACCATTGGGACTTATCAGGAAATAAGGAACTCATAATAATGTGCGCTTAAATTTCCAGTGGAGGAATTGTACAGCTTAACATACGGTTTTGTAAGTTGGGTATTAATACATAAAGAGGCTGGGTGGGGTTTGATCACTATTAAAACTGATTTGTTTTGTTCCCTGGAAAATATGTTACTACCACATGGTCTACCCTTCATAGATAATCGAACCTAAGATCACTGGGCAGAAAAGGGTTGCCCTGTAGTAGGAAATGTGTCCTCCTGGGACTGAGTTGAGATTTAGTTTAGCACACAGAATAAGTAGCCAATGGCTGCTATGAGTCTGACTTCTATAATTCAAATTGGTATAAATTAAATCTAATTCTTTTCCCCAGGACTGCCCAATTTAAGATTAAGTTTTATACTGGCGCTTATTAGAGATATGGCCATTTTGCCATTTCAGTGGAACCTTTTAATCAGCTTTAATGCTGTCTTAGGTAAAGTAAAAACTTAATCTAAGGGCTTTTCTAGTTTGCCATCCTCAAAGCAGAAAAAGCAGCAATGAAGCAGCACTGCCTCATATAGACTCTGCTTTTATTAAATTTGCTTCAATAATCCTCTTCCAGTCATCTTTTGTGCTGCATATTTGAACCATAAAATAAGCAAAAACTGTACCCAAATGAAAATTTCAAGTTATTTTAATGAAGCTCTGGAAACATCCCAGAGCTCAGAAGATGTTTTTTCCTAGTTTATTTTTTAAATTCTGGAAAGTAGGTCAGTAGACATACCCTGCTTTAATTGGTTTAATTAGAAGTGAAAAATTATAGGACTAACTCAATTTGAAGTATAGATTTCAATAAGAAGAATTATACTGGGATGAATATTATTTAAGGTTTTGAATTTAAGATGCATTTAATCAATGCTTATAATTTCCTCTTGAAAAGATTTATATTGCAAAAAAGAAGACTAAGTGTTGGAATATGTCAATATATAGGGAAAAACTTTGCCATGAAATATAATATTTGATAAAATCATTTTAGAATTGTATCTCTAAATGGTATGCCTAAGAATATTGTTCTATAGGACCTTAATAGATATGCCTCGGGGGAAAAAAGTATTGTGTGCTCAAGTGAGTTTGAGATATACTGCATTAAATATAAGAAGTTGCCTGCAGGACTTCTCAGAGTCTTTAACACTTTCTGAATTTCTGAGACAAGATATATAGAGGGTACAGTACTTTGCAAACCTATTTATCCCTATACCACCTAGTAACATTTTTCAGGAAAATGTTTTGAGAACACGAATTTGACCTGTTTTAGGAATTTATACCTTTGACAATGTTGAGGACCTTGTTTTTTCCTATTATAATGATGATGTGATATTCACATATATTACTTTTTCCCAATTCTTTAAGATATTTTTCCAATGTATTATATTCAACCCTCTGCTCAGTGCCTTCCTTCTGCTAACTAAAGTGATGGTTTCCGTCTGTTGCTACACATCAGACATACTTGGCCCTGACCCTGGAGATTCTGTATGAACAGAAATGCCAGAATACCTGCTCAGGATTCTGTATTTATTACAAACACCCAGGTGATTCTGATGCAGCCAACACTGGTCCTCCAACTGATGCTTTGGAATTGTTGAACTAAAAGCATGCCTTTTTTTCTAGATGGATGAGTAGATTGGGGCATAGTTTGTGGTCCTAGAACACATGGGTTAACCATCCCTCCTAGTGAGAATGATAGCACAGGCCTCTGATGACCCCACGAGGTGCTGTGCTGGCTATAACCTAACATGAAACGATCATTATTCCTTAAGAAAAGCAGAATATGTCTAAATGGGCTTTTAGCCACCTTCCTAATAATGAAGTACCATATATATGACTACCATTTGTTTTAATTTCAAGTAATTCCCTTGTAGATGATGTTTTATTTATTCTTTTTTTTTTTTTTTTTTGAGACAGAGTCTCGCTCTTTCGCCCAGGCTGGAGTGCAGTGGCGCGATCTCGGCTCACTGCAAGCTCCACCTCCCGGGTTCATGCCGTTCTCCTGCCTCAGCCTCCTGAGTAGCTGGGACTACAGGTGCCCGCCACCGCGCCCAGCTAATTTTTTGTATTTTTAGTAGAGACGGGGTTTCACCGTGTTAGCCAGGATGGTCTCGATCTCCTGACCTCGTGATCCGCCCGCCTTGGCCTCCCAAAGTGCTGGGATTACAGGTGTGAGCCACCGTGCCCGGCCTATTCTTTAAAAAGAATATTAGATTATATTTTCTAAATGTGCCAAGTATCTAAGAATATATTCTTTCACCTCCTGCTGATAAGAGTTATACATTTAACCTTAAGCAAATCTGCCAAGATTCTATGTCATTTATGCTTTGATTTATGTGAGTATTAATGTAGTTTCTGTGACTATTATATGGTTATATATACCCTCCACCTAGTAAAACAGTTCCATATTCCTGGAAATGGTCTTTTACATCCTACAAGTGTAGCTGGAAAGGAATAATATAAATACTAATGGTTTGAGAGACAACTAGTCTTGACATGTCTTGGTTGAATAGTGTTCTATAAGCAACAATATATGAAATACTAGACATACCCATTAAAAGCAGAAAATACCCACTACTGTTTTAAAATTATTCTGCAAGATCTCATCAATGCAATGAGACATAAAACAGAAATAATGGGTGTAATTATTGAAAATTGGAGATAAAATTTTTATTACTTGTAAACAAAATTCTGTCAAAAACCTGACAAATTAAACAATACAATTAATATGTTTAATAGAACTAATTACATATGAGAGGCATCCAAAATCCATTTTTTCTATACAAACATGGTTTGATATACAGTCATTTTATCTGTGTATTAATTGGTTTATGAAATAACAAATAGAAAAATCAAGTATGCATTATCAAGTTAAAGAAGCAGGAGAGATGGAGCTATAAAAACAAAGAGAGAAGAATGTTGTAAGGAGGGCTTAACAACCAGGATAAATGTTGTAGAAAGATCAATTAAAGTGATGGCCTAGAGATCACGGGCTTCCTTTGGCAGAGCCATGTTGGTGAAGTGAAGGAAGTGGAAGCCAGACCACAATGGTTGAAGAATGAATGTAATGTAAGAGCCAAGACATTTATTTGAGTCTGATAGTAATGAAAAAGGACAAGAATTTTCTTCTTGCTGTTGTTTTTGTCATTTCATGTTCAAAACCCTTTATCTCCCATGTGGTACTGAAAACTCCAAGATGGGATCTCTGTTTCTGTGAGGCCTGTAGTGCTTAGTACATCCTTGAATGTGTGAGGCTCTCATTGGTATAAGTTTAATTCCTGACTGTGGATGAAAGCTTTAAAACTTTGCGGGCAAAATACAGAATGAATTTCAGTGAGTTCCCATGTATTAAACAAGGTGGCGCTGGCTGGAGACATGCTGTCCCTGTGCCCACAGGAGTAGCAGTGCTGTGCTCATCTTCCTGACCCGCTCTTCACAGTCTTCACCGCCTTTCTTCAGGAGTCTCCCCTTTGGCTTTTCCACAGCTATGAAACCCACGTAGTCGGACACCCTAATGCTTCTCCTGTAGGGTGTGTGATGAGGAGGTGAGCTTGGCTTTGGAGTGCTGGGAACCTGAGGAATTGCCAAGGACCCAGAGCCCAGCCCTGACCACCCAGAGAGCCCAAAACACAATGAACAAATTGAATTTCCACAACAACAGAGTCATGCAAGACCGCCGCAGCGTGTGCCTTTTCCTTCCCAATGAGAATCTCTGAACATCATCATAAATGTGAGTAGATCTCAATATAATTCTGATAGCTGGAGGATAGTGTATTTTCAGGTTTGCTGGAGGGAAAAAACTGGACTTTAAATAATTAAGACAAAATGATTGTATTAATTGACTTCTATTCTTAATCACTAATTTCATTTTTTATATTTCCCTTGACTTTTGGGGGAGAAATAGTCTTTGTCTCAAAAGTGGGCTTCAGTGACCTATGGGTTTGATAAAGCAACCAGAGATAATGAGACAAGAATATTTAATGGCAACATGCCAGCAATTATTATTAGTTAATTGAAAGCGTTTATGATTTTGGCCTGGGGCCAATGCTTTCCCCCTCTGCTGGACTAACATGTGGGTAAAGGAGAGGAAAAGCTTTGTTTCACTTTTTAAATAAAAGTATTACGTAACTTTGAAATTTGTATAAAATTAAAAGATAGTAAAAACAACTATTCTAACAGAATTCAAAACCTGTTATGCTTCAGTGGAGAGATTATTCAAGATAAGTCCGTGGGAAATTGGGAGTACATTTCTACTGGCAAAGTTAGTGATAACTATGCACTTCTGACAAAATGTGAAATGGGGGGTATGGGCGTGTCATATCATCATGGTGCAGATACGTGGATGTGTGCTTCCAAACAATGGCAACCTAACTGACTGCTGGAACCATACAAAATACCTGAAACTACTCAGAAAGAAGGTGAAAATTGCATGCAAAAATTATTTGAAAAATATTGAGCTAACACAACATGAATTTGGAATTATAAGTGAGGTATTGTAACTCACCTACAGATGTGTTTTTTGTAATCAATATTCATGGACTCAGACTACACAGTAAAAGCTTACATAGAAATCATTCTATCTAAACTTTCTGGATACGAAAGTAACCTAGTATGCGTTTTGCTACTATATCTTTATATGAATTTAAATCACATTTCCAAGTGGCTTACAGTAATCAAGGTTGTCACAAGGAAGATGCAAATTAAAACCACATTGCAATATCACTGCACACCCACTAGTACGGTTTAAAAGAAAAAAAAAACAGAAAATATCAAGTATTGGTGACAATGTGGAGCAAACAGAACTCTTTTTCAATAATGGCAGGTATGTAAAGTGGCACAAACACTTTGGAAACCTGTTTGGCATTATACTGTACTAAACCTGAACACACGCATTGTTTATGACCCAGGAATGCCCCTCCTGGGAACCAACAACAACGCATATATGTGTTGCATATGTTCACCAAAAGACATTTACAAGAATGTTCATAGCAGCACTATTTGAAATCACCCCCAAGTAGAAAATGCACAAATATTTAACAGTAGTTGGATAAAGTGTGGTACGTTTATGCAATATAATACCATATAGAAATGAGAGTGAGGGATCTGCAAACTAATATGCAACTGTACAAATGAATCCCACAAATATAATGTTGGGTGGCAGAAGCCAGATGCAAATGAATACATGCTGTAGATTTCATTCTTTTACATTAAAAAAGCTAGTCACACAAAGTTATGCTGTTAGAAGAGAGTGATTTGGTCGGGCGCAGGGGTAGTTACAGGAAGGGAGTACACGGAGATTTCTGGTTGTTAGTTATGTTCAGTGTCAATCTATGTGCTAAACAGGTACAATAAAGATTTTAGAATTCATCAATTTGCACACTTATGATAGATGCACTTTCCTGTATGTATATTTCAATAAAATCTTTTAAAAAGTAAAATGACAAAAAGACACTATTAACAAAAATGACATATTATATTAACTGTTATACTAAGGAAAATATAAAAATGAGTTCTATAACAGGGGCTCTGCAGGTCATGTGGTCATGCCAAGGACCATATGTGCTCAAGATTCTCATGACATTTTGGAAGGAGGTTGGGCTTTCTTTATCTTTCCTTTCTTCTCTCCCTTCCCTTCCCTTCCCTTCCCTTCCCTATTTTTAAACCTAGGTTTGGTATTTTCCTGGGGTGATGGTGACTTTGGAAAATTGGGCCGGGGCGGAAGTGAAGGCTGCAACATTCCCCAGAACATTGAGAGACTAAATGGACAGGGGGTGTGCCAGATTGAGTGTGGAGCTCAGTTCCTACTGGCGCTCACCAAGTCTGGAGTGGTGTGGACATGGTACGTAAACGTCCTCCCCGTCACAGTGTGCGTGCTTGTGCCGACGCGTGCAGGGAACTTGGGCCTCGCCCCAGGACCACCCCGGCGTGATTGTGACCTGTCATATTTTTACTTATGCATGCATCTTTGTCCTTTAAAGGATATTGAGTCGGGATTAGTGACAATAGTACAAGAAGAAATTTCCTATTGTAACTGGGTCATTTTGAAAATACTAGAAAAATTTTAGGCCACTTACCTTTCCTGTTTGGGCGAGATTTATAGGAAGTGTTTCTTCTGCTGAAGCCTAAGGATAAAATGAGAGCAAAATAGCCTTCTGAATCCTTTGATCCTGAGAAAGTTAACATGTATTTCTTGTAAAAGCTTATTATATTAATGTGCAAATGAGCAGGTGCCCAGACTGGCCTTGGATGCTGTGTCAGGCCTTGCTGCCTCTGGTCATAACATTGGCACTATTTATTTATTTATTTATTTATTTATTTGAGATGGAGTCTCGCTCTGTCGCCCAGGCTGGAATGCAGTGGCACAATCTCAGCTCACTGCAAGCTCCGTCTCCCGGGTTCACGCCATTCTCCTGCCTCAGCCTCCCGAGTAGCTGGGACTACAGGCGTCTGCCACCATGCCCGGCTAATTTTTTTGTGTTTTTAGTAGAGATAGGGTTTCACCATGTTAGCCAGGATGGTCTCGATCTCCTGACCTTGTGATCCACCCGCCTCGGCCTCCCAAAGTGCTGGGATTACAGGCGTGAACCACTGCTACTGGCCGACATTGGCACTCTGAGAAAGATGTATACCAGATAGGACTTTGGATAGGTGTTTGCAGTAATGTGTCTTATTTTCAGTCTATATGAAAACCTACAACAGTAACTTAAATATTGTAGAACATGTATTAAGGTATTAAGGTTTTTCCCAGCTGACTTAATAAGTTAATTTGAATTAATGGTGTATGATTTTGAATACAAGTTCGAAGACCTTGGGTGCTGTGTGTGATGTCATTGAGCTGGCTGTGAAAGATGTGAGACAATGAGTGTCTTCTTGTATAGCATTGTCAGACCACAACTATATTGTAACACTCCACCACGGGCCTCCTTCTCAGGGGAAAGGGGGATTACTTCAGGTTGCGCCAGGGCTCTGACGTGCACGTGTGGAAACTGTAGGTGGTGGAAGGGCTGAGAGGGAAGAAGATCGTGCATGTGGCTGTCGGGGCCCTGCACTGCCTGGCGGTCACGGACTCGGGGCAGGTAAGGCTGCAGGTGGCCTGGGGGTGGCGTGCCATCCTGACTTGGGGGACGTGGGGGTCACGACATGGCCCTCGTCCTGTTGAAATCACAGCTGTTGATGAACTCAGCCGAGTCTTACTGCTTGAAGAACCATGAGGCCGGGACCCATCCGTTTTGCCCGCTGGTGTATCTGCCTACTCAGCAGCAGGGGTTGGGGGCGGGGTCCTCAGAAAAGAGGCGTTCCCACTCTGAAGTCCACGTGAAAAGTGTGTGGAAAGATTGTTATCCTTTTTTTTTTTTTTTTTTTTTGAGACAGAGTCTCGCTCTGTCGCCCAGGCTGGAGTGCAGTGGCGCGATCTCGGCTCACTGCAAGTTCTGCCTCCTGGGTTCATGCCATTCTCCTGCCTCAGCCTCCCGAGTAGCTGGGACTACAGGCGCCCGCCACCACGCCCAGCTAATTTTTTGTATTTTTAGTAGAGACGGGGTTTCACCGTGGTCTCGATCTCCTGACCTCGTGATCCACCTGCCTCGGCCTCCCAAAGTGCTGGGATTACAGGCGTGAGCCACCGCACCCGGCCAAAAGATTGTTATTCTTGAAGATGCTCCTACTGCAAGGTATTAACAAGACTTTGCTTTAGGAAATTGCTAACTGGTGAGGAGGCACCCATGCCTCATTTTAGAGACAGAGCTAGTGCCTGACAAGTGTTACACTCTCTTCTGCTTGGAGAAGCATATGCTATGACCGGCTTGTAGATATTCAATTTAAAATTTTATTTATGAAAACAAAATTACCATTACTGTTTTTTAGTCAAAATGAATTATACTTTATAATTCTATAAGGCCAAGGAGCTACTTACTTGAAAAATGAGCATATTGTTTTTGGTCATTTTTCTTTGCAAAGTAAAAGGGAAAAAATTATTGCACTTAGTTGAAGAGAGGACCTTCTGTGTGACTTGCAACAAAGCAGAATTAATTTGATTAATATTAAGAAAATACTCCTTTTATGGTTATTGGCATTTTCATGGTTAGATTTTCTTCAGAATTATAGTACACCGATGCCATTTTGTAAGATTGTGAAATGGTTTGCTTTTACTTTTAAGAACTCAATTCTTTCAAATACCATGGCATACACGTTAAGCATTTTGAAGTAAAAATTACATTAAAGAAAATGTCCTGAAATGTTGAAAAATTATAAGCTTTTTTCTCCTCGTAAACAGGTGTATGCTTGGGGTGACAACGACCACGGCCAGCAGGGCAATGGCACGACCACGGTTAACAGGAAGCCCACACTCGTGCAAGGCTTAGAAGGCCAGAAGATCATGTGTGTGGCTTGCGGGTCATCCCACAGTGTGGCGTGGACAACTGTGGATGTGGCCATGCCCTCTGTCCACGAGCCCGTCCTCTTCCAGACTGCAAGAGACCCTTTAGGTGCTTCCTATTTAGGTAACACAGATTTGTATCCTGAGATTTTTCTGTAGGTTACAGCAACTTTACATTTATTTAATTGTGCCAACACATTAGAGGTTGTAGTGCTGCGTTAACTACATTATGAATCTAAAGACACAGAAGAATTATGGTGTGCGCTCATGTGATTTATACATGCTGGAATGAAAGTTTTAGAAGAAAGTATGTTGCTGATTCTTGTGTTTATGATCAGGTAAATTCACAGCGCTGTACTTGTGTGTAAACAGGACTCCTAATAACTGCCTGAGAGATACAGGCACTGTACTGGGCTCTTTTGTATTTTTTAACAGCTTTATTCAGTTATAATTGACATATAATAAACTGCACCTATTTAAAGTATGCATTTTGATCGACTTTGGAATATGTATGATCCATGAAAGCATCAGCACAATCAAAGATAATGAACTCATACACTACCCCAGCGTTTCTCTCTGGCCCTCTGTACCCCTCCCTTTTGCTTTTAACTCCCTCCTTCCTGCCGTATGCACCAATTTAATTTCTGTCACTAGAGATCAGTTTGCATGTCTGCTTTTTGTTGTTGTTGTTTTGTGGGTGTTTTATTTGTTTGTTTTCTTTTTTTTGTAGACAGGGTCTCACTCTGTTGCCCAGGCTGGAGTGCAGTGGCACGATCTTGGCTCACTGCAGCTTCCACCTCCTGGGCTCAAGTGATCCTCCCACCTCAGCCTCCCAAAGTGCTGGGATTATGGGCAGGAGCCACTGTGGCAGGCCAGTTTGCATGTTTTACAGCTTACTATAAGTAGAATCATACAGCATATACTCTTTTTAAAAATCTTACTTTTTCCACTCAGCATAATAATTTTGAGATTCACTTACGTTGCATGTATCAATAGTTTATTCTTTTAAATTGTTGAATAGTATCTTAAGATAAACAAATGCAATTTGTTCATCCATTTTTCTGTTGATGAATGTTTGGGCTGTTTCCAGTTTTTGACTATGCAAGTGAAATTGCTAATGGACATTTCCATACAAGTTTGTGTATGGACATCCACTTGAAATTCTCTTGGGTAAACTTCTAAGAGAGGAGTGGTTGGATCATATGGTACGTGTATGTCTAGCTTCTTAAGATCGCTACATACTGTTTTGCAAAGTGGATGTTCCAGAGGTCCACATCCTCCACATTTTTGTCAACCCTTGATACATTCAGTCTTTAATTTTAGTTATACTGACAGATGTATAGTGGTATCTCGTTGTGGTTTTAATCTGCATTTCCCTAATAACTAATGATCTCAAGCATCTTGCTTATTTACAAATCACATACCTTTTTTGGTGAATGTCTGTTCAAGTCTTTTCCCATATTTAAATAGGTTGTTTTCTTACTGGTTTGAGAGTTCCTTATATATTCTGAGTTACAAGTCCTTTGCCTAATATAGAATTTGCTAGTATTTTCTGTCAGTGTGGCTTGTCATTTTATTCTCTTCACAGGTGAATCTTAAAGATTAGAAGTTTTTAATTTTGATGAAGCCTAGTTTATTCATTTTATTCTTTTGTAGAGTGTACTTTTGATGTTGTGACTACAAAACCTTTGCCTCAAGATTATGAAGTTTGTCTTTCTATGTTCTGTTATAGAAGTTTTATAGTTTTAGACAGGTATATCTATGACCAGTTGATTAAATTTTATATATAGTGGGAGGTTCAGATTGAAAGGCTTTTTTGGGCATGATTGTCCAGTTGTTTCAGTTGTATTTGTTGAAAAACTACGCTTTTCCTACTGAATTGCCTTTTGCCTTTGTCAGAAATCAGTTGTCTATGGATGTATGGATCTATTTCTGGACTCCCAGTACTGTTTCATTGATTTATTTGTGTATTTTGGTGGCAATGCCACATTGTCTTGATTACTACAGCTTTATAAAAGGCCTGAACTCAGGTTGCAACAGTTTTTTAGCTTTGTTCTTTTTCAAATATATTTTGGCTGTTGCAGGCCCTTTACATTTCCATATGACTTAAAATGAGCTTGTCAGTTTTTATAAAACCGCTTGCTTGGGATTTTGATGTGGATTGCATTAATTCTGTAAGTCAATGTGCAAGGATGGATTCACAGTATTCAGTCTTCTAACCCATGAACATAGTGTTTCTCTTTATTTGTTAGGTGTCCAGTACATAATGACACATGAAGAGGCAAAAAAAGCGACTAAAAATGACCAGAAATGATAGGAGAGAAACAGACCCACAAGGGCTCCATATATTGGAGTTAGAAGACACAGACTTTAGTATAATAAATATGCTTACTGTGTTCAAAAAGATAATATTTCAGCAGAGAACCAAAAACTACTGAAAATAAAATAGAAAGACTAGAACTGATAAATCCAATATTTAAAATTAAGAACTTAATGAGTAAGTTTAGAACACACTGAACTCAGCTGAAGAGAAAGTAAAAATATCTGGAATGAAGAACTGAGGAGCAAAAGTTTAGAAAACATAACAAGAAGGTAAAAGATCTGCAGGACAGAGGTTAGGCCTAACACAAGTGAAAGAAGAGTCCCCCCAAAAAGATAGAAAAGAGAATAGAGCAGAGGCAAAATGTGAAGAAATACTGAAAGACAGAATTTTCCAAAACAGACAACAGATATCATGCCCCAGAAGCCCTACCAACCCCAAGAAAGATAAACATCTCCATGCACATGTAAAACCTGTGCCAGATGAAAACAAAAAGACTCTCTGAAAAGCAGACGAAGGAAAAATAAAATGAACCACAATTAGACTTCCATCCAACTTCAGGAGAAATAATATAAACCAAATTGCAATGGAATACTATTTTTAAAGTGCTGAAAGAAAACACCTAGCAAAAAGACTTTTCAAAAATAAAGGAGAAATAAAGACATTTTCAGACATACAAAAATAGATAATTTGTAACCAACAAAGACACATTTTTAAAAATATTAAGGGGATTTTCAGGCAGGAGAAAAACAGTATAGATGGAAAATTAAAGAAGAAGAAAAAAGTGGAGAGAAATTACAAAGTATGCAGAAAAATCTAAATCAATATTGACTACATAAAATCGTCATATGCCCTGCATGTATTGTTTGATCCTTTGACTTGTTTTTTTGCTTTTTTTGTTTTTTGAGACGTAGTCTTGTTCTGTCGCCCAGGCTGGAGTGCAGTGGCACGATCTCGGCTCACTGCAAGCTCCGCCTCCTGGGTTCACGCCATTCTCCCGCCTCAGCCTCCCAAGTAGTTGGGACTACAGGTGCCCGCCAACACACCGGCTAATTTTTTGTACTTTTAGTAGAGACAGGGTTTCACCGCGTTAGCCAGGATGGTCTCGATCTCCTGAACTCCTGATTCACCCGCCTCGGCCTCCCAAAGTGCTGGGATTACAGGCATGGATCATGAGGTCAGGAGATCGAGACCATCTTGGCTAACACGGTGAAGCCCCATCTCTATTAAAAATACGAAAAATTAGCTTGGCATGGTGGCATGCGTCTGTAGTCCCAGCTACTCGGGAGGCTGAGGCGGGAGGAATGGCGAGAACCCAGGAGGCGGAGCTTGCAGTGAGCTGAGATCACGCGCCACTGCACTCCAGCCTGGGTGACAGAGCGAGACTCTGTCTCAAAAAACAAAAACAAAAACAAAAACAAAAACAGGCATGAGTCACTGCGCCTGGCTGATCCTTTGACTTTTTTTGAAATTTTGTTTGAGCATATGACCCACTTAGCATATGACTGGATTTTATGAACATTTTCTATGTGCATAAAAGAATGTCTTCGATAGTTCTGTTAGATATATATTTGTATAAAATGTATAAAATTTTGGCTGGACGTGGTGGCTCATGCACATAACCCCAGCACTTTGGGAGACTGAGGTGGGTGGATCGCCTGAGGTCAGGAGTTCAAGAGCAGCCTGGCCAGCATGGTGAAATCTCACCTCCACTAAAAATACAAAAATTAGCCAGGCGTGGTGGCAGGAGCCTATAATCCCAGCTACTCAGGAGGCTGATGCAGGAGAATCGCTTGAGCCCGGGAGGTGTCAGTTGCAGTGAGCCAGGATCGCGCCACTGCACTCCAGCCAGGGCGACAGAGTGAGACTCCGTCTCAAAAAAAAAAAAAATTAAAAATTAAAATATGTTAAGAACATATAAATCAGAATGAAGATAAATGATGTTAAAGAGAACTAAGGTCTTTGCATTGTTTAGGAGGAGACTTTACTAAATAATAATAGATTTAAATCAGTCAAAAATAGATGTTATAATTAATATCTTCAGTAACTACTAAAACTAAAAATGTATATAACACATACACTCCTTATAGACAGAGTGAGACTCTGTCTCAAAAAAATAATAATTAAAAAAAAAAAGTAGAAAAGTTAGCTGAGCATGGTGGCACCGGCCTGTAATCCCAGCTGCTCAGCAGGCTGAGACAGGAGAACTGCTTGAACCCAGGAGGTGGAGGTTGCAGTGAGCCAAGATTGTGCCACTGCACTCCAGCCTGGGCAACAGAGTGAGACTCTATCTCACAAAGAAGAAAAGTGATATATGCATACAGTGGAATATTATTCAGCCATTAAAAAGGATGACGTTCTGACACATGCTACAATACGGATGAAGCTTGAAGACATTATGCTAAACACAAAAGGATAAATCTTACATGGTTCCATCTAGATGAGATGTCTGGAGTGGTCATATTCGTAGAGACCAAAGTTAGATTCAAGGTTACCAGGGTTGGGGTAAGGGGAAGTAGGGCAGTTAAATTGCTTAATGGGTACAGAGTTTCTGATCGGAGTGGTGAAAAGTTTTGGTAAGAGAAAGTTGTGATGGTTGTGCAACACTGTACTTAAGGTACTTAATACCCTGAATTATAAACTTAGAAAATGACTAAGTGGCTAATTTTAAGTTAAATATATTTTGCCACAATGAAAAATATAATAAAAGGTATACAAATTAAAACACTCACTCTCCATCTAACCAATTCCACATGCCACGCAACTAAACACTTACTAGTTTCTTGAGATTCTTTTAATGTTTCTTTATGGAAAAACAAGCAAACAAGCCTAGTTATTCTAATTCTTCCCCGATACCCCATCCTGATTTTTTTAAAAAGCCAGCCAGTCATCAGCGGGTAGGACCGTCACTTCCGTCTCACTGTACTCACTCTACAGAATTACCATATGCAAAGGAACCTTAAAATAACAAATTCCAGTACACTGTGGTCCACAATAAGTATTTCATTAATATTTG
This sequence comes from Homo sapiens, assembly GCF_000001405.40. Taxonomy (NCBI): domain Eukaryota; kingdom Metazoa; phylum Chordata; class Mammalia; order Primates; family Hominidae; genus Homo; species Homo sapiens. The sequence goes on along the minus strand of NC_000015.10, from coordinate 22,579,755 downwards.
GTGGAAGAGAGAATATAAACATTCTGCCATACCTGGTTCATTTATTCTGCCAAATGTATGCCTGGTATTGTGTTTTTTGGTCTTGAAACACGTTTCACAAAAATCAAAGTCATCACAGTTTCTGCATTTGAATCTGGATCCATTGATAGGAAACATCTGACATCCATCACACCTATTTGTAAAATAGCAACTGAGTTAAGAAAGGTCATTTATTAAACTTAATTCAACAGAAAACCATTCGTCCCAAAGCAAATCTAGCAATCATAAAAATAACTCACGTAACCCCAGGATGAATACTGGGCACCAACTCCATTTCTGATAGCAACCCAGTCCAGTGAGACTGCTGGGGAAAGTCAACAATGATATCTTTTCCATTGGCACTGAAAGCCAGGACACAACAGAAATCACCTGATCCATCTTCCTCTTCACCAATAAAAACCTGAACTTAAAACTGCACCTAGCCATGTCATACTACATTGTAGTTATTTGTTTTTTACAAAGAGTCTATCTTTTAGAGATAGGTACTAAAATGCTTATGGATGAACTAATATATGATGTCAGCGCCTGGTTTCAAAATAATCACAAGAAGGGAGCATGAATAATTTTGGCCATGAGGCGACAATCGTTAAAGCCAGGTAATGAGCACATGGAGGTTCATTGTAAACTACATTCCTTACTTTTGCATTAGGTTTAAAATAGGACATTTTGGTTTCTAATTACACCAAGTCAACAATTCCATACAATACCTTTGGTATCTCAGGGAATAAAAACCACATTAATAACATGAAGACTTCTTTCATCCTTTGATAAGAGCAACGTGTCACTCAAAACAAAGAAACCAAATTCTTATTTTTAAAATTTGTCTTGTTTTGATTTGCAAATATTTTAACAATCTCTTAAGCAAAGAAAAATGTTTAAAGTAAAATATTAAATAATCCACTTGTTCTTATGTAACATGAGAAGCTCTAGGAACCTCTCACCACTGGGGAACCACCAACTGTGGCCATTTTCTAAGCGATCTGATGAAAAGAGAGGCTTCCACAAGGTTCAAACGAACAAACAAATAATCTCTTTATGCATCAAGAGTTTATAAAACTATACACATACTTATTTCTCATGCAACTGTTAAAACGGACATAGTGTGCCTTTCAAAGTGTGCCACGGATTTGATTTGGAATCTCAACAGTATCATATTAAATATAATCTGAGAATTGTTTCCAGTTCCTAATTTCCATCATTAGCACATTTCCATTTCTTAAATTCAGTCCTAAATTTTTATACAGCATGAAAAAGAGCCAGGCATGGTGGCTCATGCCTGTAATCCCAACACTTTGGGAGGCCGAGGTGGGCGGATCAATAGGTAAGGAGTTCGAGACCAGCCTGGCCAACATGGGGAAACGCCATCTCTATGAAAAATACAAAAATTAGCCAGGCACGGTGGTGGGCACCTGTAATCCCAGCTACTCTGGAGGCTGAGACTGGAGAACTGCTTAAACCCGGGGGCGGAGGTTGCAGTGAGCCAAGATGGCGCCACTGCACTCCAGCCTGGTCAGGGGAGGAGAAAGAAAAAGCAGTCCTGACAGTCAGGAGCTGGCCTGTTAATGTCAATGTTAGGCCATTTCACAGAACAAATGACAGGACAAGTTTACAGAACACGAACATCAGATAAGGCCACTCTGTGACTGATGAATCAAGGCACAACCAAAACCCCTCCTTAACCATGTGTGATTAAAGTTGAGTCTAATCCAAACCACAAACAACCACACAGTCCCCTATCCTGGTGATATGAATGACTGCTTCCTTACCAATCATGACGTTAGCATGGCTCCATTCTTTCTGCCTGCTAGGTAAATTTATTAAGACATCCTGTTTTAGGATTACCCCTGCTTTCTCGACCCCTCCCCCAAATACCCAACATAAACTTCATTAGTCCTCGCTCACTCCCTCTGATGGAGACACCCATTCCCCAAGGTGTGTGTTCTCCTGTACCGCAATGAGTTAATATTAATAAATCTGATTGTTTCACTGTAGGTGAGTTCCTTTGTGGCCTTTGGCAGAAGGCACTGACAAGCAAAGGAACACTCTATCTCTTTCTTCACACTTGTTTTCTGTTTTGTGTGCTTGAACAAAAAGAAATACTAAGTACATATGCATTAATGAAAAGTTAACATCAGGAATTTAATTACCCAGATGATATTACCTTTCACAACCCCCACACTCTGATGAGTCACAGATCCCCATTTGTATTTTGGTGTGGTGACAGAGGCTTTGACCCGCACTTTATCACCAATCTTGATGTGAGAAGAACTTCTTGGTGGAGGATAGCCTACAGATTTCAATAACAAATCATTATAATCAGTATTCATTTATGGGAATTCTGTCTCTAAGAAAAAGTAAAAGCACTAAACAAAGAATGTGCTCACCTATAAGTTCCACATGAATGTACCTAAACCAGTAGATGCCCCCTTTCTGCTGCCAGTCACACTGCACATTGAGATCATGCAATCCATCTCTGTCCAGCTTGATGACTTTGCCAACATCACATCACCTTCGCACACTTCTTCGTATGTTCGGCAGCATCTAACCATCATTCCCACCTAGAATTAAAATGAAATTGGAGATCCAGTCCATCATGTACACAGGTGAAATGAGCCATGATAAGTAGTATTACTCTACTCTTAATAAAGAATTTCAACTGGGCACGGTGGCTCACATCTGTAATCCTAGCACTTTGGGAGGCTGAGGTGGGAGGATCACTTGAGCTCAGGTGTTTGAGACAAACCTGGGCAACATGGCGAAACCCACCTCTACCAAAAATACAAAAATTAGCCAGATGTGATGGCACATGCCTGTGGTCCCAGCTACTTGGGAGACTTGAGTTGAGAGGATTGCTTGAGCCTGGAAGGTGGAGGTTACAATGAGCCAAGATCATACTACTGCACTCCAGCCTGAGTGACAAAGTGAGACCCTATCTCAAAAAAAAAAAAAAAAAAAAAAGAATTTCATCTAGCACCCAGAGTGCATTCTAAGTATTATTTAATGATAAAGGGAAGAGAAACTCTTTAGAACACTGTCTGGCTTTGTGTCTCAGGCAGGAAATATACAGGAAGAGGCTGGATCAACTTGTATCATAAAGGAAGGGAGTTTTCAAAGATTACTCAAAAGGATTCCCTGATCATCAAAAATATAACAGTGGAGACATCACACCCTAAAAGCCAATGGATTGGTCATCATGACAATAAGGAAAACGAAGCTTCCTGGTCATCTTTATACATATCAGAACACCAATGCATCATTGTGAAAACTGATGAAGTCTCCCTGTATTATCAAGAGCAACCAAGATTAATAACAAAGCTTTTTTTCACAGAAGAGAATTCCAGCTAATGAACTCAGAGAAGATGAAGTTAGAAAATCACTATGGTGCAGCCCCTAATGATAGGTCTAGGTGATGACACTAATGCCTGCTGGAGCTATGAGATGGACAATTAATACAGAATGTCATCAAGGAAGGAGCAGGCTGACAAGACCTAACCCACCCAAACCTGCTTGCCTGTTGAGATGGGGCCGGAGGGAGTACATGCCTATGAAGCTTCCTGCCTGAGATTCAGCCTGGTCCAATCACCCTCCAACCCTAACTCCTACTGCATTGGAGAAACAGGGAGAGAGGAAGATGTTAGCCACAAGGAAGCCACCTCCAAATGCAGACTGTAAGACATTTGGAGGACATGGTTTCAGCCACAAATAAATAGCATGAAAGGAGAGGAAGGGAGAAGGAGGGTTACTATGAAATGAATGTTTGTATCCCCCCCGCAAAATTCATGAAGTCCCGACTCCTAATGTGGCAGTATTAGGAGATGGGGCCTCTAAGGAAGTCATTAAGGTAAAATCAGGTCATAAGAGTGGGGCTCTGACACAACAGGATTAGGGTCTTTATAAGAAGAGACTCCAGGATGGGCATGGTGGCTCACGCCTATAATCCCAGCACTTTGGGAGGCCAAGGCAGGTGGATCACCTGAGGTCAAGAGTTCGAGACCAGCCTGACCAACATGAATAAACCCTGTCTCTACTAAAAATATAAAATTAACCAGGCATGTGGTGCATGTCTGTAATCCCAGATACTTGGGAGGCTGAGACAGGAGAATCGCTTGAACCCGGGAGGCAGAGGTTGTGGTGAGCCAAGATCGTGCCACTGCGTTCCAGCCTAGGCAACAAGAGTGAAACACCGTCTCAAAAAAAAAAAAAAAAAAAAAAAGACACCAGTGCTCCCCTGCTAGCTCCAGCTCCCCCCATCCCCAGCCCCACGTCCACAGGAGGACACAGCAAGAAGGCAGCCACCTGGCCGGGCACGGTGGCTCATGCCTATAATTCCAACACTTTGGGAGGCCAAGGCGGGTAGATCACGAGGTTAGGAGATCGAGACCATCCTGGCTAACATGGTGAAACCCCGTCTCTACTAAAAATACAAAAAAATTAGCTGAGCATGGTGGCGGGCACCTGTAGTCCCAGCTACTCAGGAGGCTGAGGCAGGAGAATGGCAGGAACCCGGGAGGCGGAGCTTGTAGTGAGCTGAGATCACGCCACTGCACTCCAGCCTGGGTGACAGAGCGAGACTCTGTTTCAAAAAAAAAAAAAAAAAAAAAAAAGGTAGCCACCTACAAGCCAGGAAGAGGGCCATCACCAGAATCCAGCCAAGCTGGTACCTTGATCTTGGATTTCCAGCCTCCAGAACCATGAGAAATAAATGTCTGTTGTTGAAGCTGCCAGTCTATGGTACTGTGTTATAGCCAACTGAGCTAAGACAAGGGGGAACCACTCTAGCTTGGAATAGACTTCAAAGATCCATCAACCAAATGCAGATAAGGCATACAATCTTGGTTTATCCAAGTTCAAAAACTAACCATTAAAGCCATTTCTGAGAAAACTGGAAAACTACAAGCAAGCGTTAGATATGAGATGATATTAAGGAATTATTATTTATTTTGTTAGGTAATGCTGGTAAACAGAAATGTCATTATGTTAAGATTCTTTATTAGTGATACTCACTGACATATATACAGGTGAAATGAGATGATTTGGGGGATTTTCTCTAAAATATACTAAAACAAGAGAATTAGGACAAGAAATGATTTAAAGTAGATAAAGGACTATATAAAACATAATTAGATTTTTAAAGTTTGATGGCAATGAGAATTACATAAGAAAAACAAGGAAAGGTATGTAGGAAGTGTCACAAGTGGGGCTAGTAGAAAACAGCCATCCCTGCGCCATGTCCACCGTGGACAGGCCACTTGTGCTCTCCGGCTGCCCCTGAGCCCATCTGCCCCTCTGTCCTCTGGCTACACCGGGGCAGCCACAGCAGCCTCTGTCTGGGTGCCCATCCTGCTCAGCCACCCTTCACACCCTGTAGGCTTTGCACCCATCTCACCTTCTCATTGCAGATCCCGATCCCTGGACTGTGCCCTCACTCCCACCCCTTTACTGTAGTCTGCTCTCTCTCATTCCAGGGTACACAGCACCTTCTAGCGTACCATGAGCTCACTGGTCAGGTATGTCTTCCAGCACCAGAAGGCAGGCTCCCTGAGGGCAGGGGCCTCTGTCCACTGATGTTTGGCATATAGGACATACCCAAATATTTGCTGAGTGAAAAACGGATCGAGGCTCCAGCTTAAGACAATTACTCACCTGAATATTCTCTCTCACATATACAGCATAATCATCATTACCCAAGAAACCAGCTCGGTTTTTGTACGTCTGGCTCTCCGTCACAACAGCACCAGTAGACTACAAGAAATAAATACATTCAAAGAAAAAAAAAAAGGAGAACTCAATAAATCTACTCAAAAAGAAATGTCTGTGAAATCTATAATATTAAAAAGTAAAGGATGAAATCCTTTATTTTCTCTATAAAAATCTTCATTTAAAAAAGACTAATAGCAGTAGCATAGTAGGCAGAAATGAATCTCAAAAGCTACAAGTATACAAAATTTCCAAGGCACTTCCAAATTAATCCTATGAACAATTTACTCAGGTCAGAAACTGATGTGTCAAAACATGGTATTTTAATAAAATATCCTCTAATGGCTACCGAAGATCATGAGATGTTTGAACAAGGGTCTGTTCTGAAGCTAAAAGTAATTATGATATAGAAACCCAATCATCCCTTCAGTAGTGAAACACAGCTTTGTTCTGTGCCCGGCAACACCATAGGTTGGTTTTATGAAACAGTCCACAGTAGATATAGTTAATTCTTTCAAGGGACAGAGAAAGCCAAGGTGTAAGACTGTTAGAGCGCTAGACGGACAGCGGCCCAGGTGCGGGCGGTCACATGGGAGGCACTGACCATGGAGTAGGCGGCATCATCCATGTCCTCCACCACCTCCTCGTCAGAATACTCGTCGGACACCGTGTCTGCATCTGAGAGCTCCGTGACCTGTATGTCGGAGTGGTCCAGCAGCCACCCGACCAAGGCTTCCACACCTAAGAGAGGCACACACAGCACACCAGCCACTGTGAGTCAACAGCCCTGAAGCGGGAACCCACACACGTACAAGCAGAGGCCAGGAAAACGAAGTACCAGGCAAGCCGGACGCATTCCCGGAAGCACCAGTGAGAGACTTCAGGGCAAACTCGATGTTCCTTCTGGGAAATCCCATCTCCATGAGCTGCACCACGATCGGCAGAGCGGGAACGGGTGACTGCTTGCGCCTCTTCACTCTGGCAGGGCGGATGTGCTGCACGTTGACAGGCGTGGTGGCCTCACTGGAGCTGCAGTCTTCAAATCCTGGGCTCGAAGGGTGAGTGGACTCCACAACGGCCAGTGCAGCAGTCTGGGCAGACAAGAGGGTCCTGGGAGGTTTGGGAAGTGCCCTCGGCTAGCTTACACAGTCTAGGAACATGGGGCATCATGCAAGTCTAGAAAGCCCACATTCACATGTGCGTTTTTCAATGAGTTCCTAAAACATGTTAGAAAATGACAAAGCCAAGTTTCGCAGTTTAATGCAGAGAAAATACTTGGTGGTAAAATAACTTGCCTGTTTCAGCAGACAGAGAGCCTACTAAATTAGCCAAGTATCAATGTCCATTAAGGAAAACTTCATTACAGCCCTAAGCGAGCAGTCACAGGGGCTTGAGGGAGCAGGGAGAAAGGCATTTCCCCTGCCTTAACCAGGCACTGTGGTGGCGGCCACAGGCACCTGTGTTTTAGACAGGCCAGAAATGACACAGGACTCTCATGTACCATTAAAACAACCCTCAACTATTCAAGGGTTAAATAACCACAGTGAGGTTAAACAAGGTATTAAAAAGTAAGAGAAATAAAAGAGTATTAGTTGGGAAACACACTGCAATGAATCAGTGAACATCTAAACTGCCAGTCTCTACAGCTGGGAACTCCCCACCTACAGCACAAATAGCACTTCCCTGATCTGTCTGCAACTCCCTGGTCCTCCTCCCCAGCTGCTCTCATAGCACTGACTTGCTATTTTGTTAAACGGAGCATGTGAGGAAGGAATCAGGAAGAAACCGAGGACACTGTGGAGCCCCCCGGTGCTCAGGAAGTATCAAAGCCTAGGGTTTTGCAGCGAAGTCTGGGTAACTTGGAAGTGACAGGTTTCATCCTAAAAGTTTAAAATTCAGAGCCAGATTGAGCCAAGAGTTCTGGTTCTGATAATGGGGAGTTAGGGTGCATTGGACTAACCCTTGGCTGATAATAATCATGAACTCTGGATAAAATATTTTTTAAAACTGCTTGAGGGCACTGGAGAACAGCTGACGCAATCAGCAATAAAACAAGCACAACCCCTGACCCCGAGAAGCCTGCAGGTAAGACGCGCATTTAACCACAGACGGCGCACCTTCCTGCACTGCAGGGGCTGGGGTCCCGGCCTGCCAGAGCAACCAGAATGTGAGGGAAAGCCCGCCTGAGAAAGAAACCACAGAGGGAAAACCACGAAATATGCGGACGGACTACCCGCAAATCTACAGCTGAATCTAAACTGAAGCACCACTGAAGAGCCTGCGCTCGGCACAAAGGGACCGCTGGAAGGCTGCAGGGGCTCCCCAGCTGCCCAGGGCCAGGACAGCATCTGAGGCTCAAGCTCAACCAACTAGAGGTGGGGAGGAGAATGTCAAGGCTTCCAGTGACGCCCAGAAGAGATTCTAAATCCTTGAGAATTAAGGATCCACAACCAGGGCTAAGGGCAAATAAAAAATCATTAGAAAGCCTGGCACCAAGCCACCTCAGGATCAAGGAGGACTGCCAGGTACTGAACTGCCTGTGAGAAGAAAACTCCCCATTCTCCAGAGGAGGCAGAACCCAGAGCCAATACAATGTAACGTCCAAAGAATCCAGAATGAAATAAAAATTCTCATATGTGAAGGACAACAACCAATAACTGACTATAATCAAGGGAAAAAAACTGCAAAGAGCAGCAGACCAACAGGTGGGCAGATGTTAGAATTAGCAAACAAGAAATTCAACATAACTATCAGAAATATGTTTTAAAATGTACAGCAAAAGATAGATTTGGCCAGGCACGGTGGCTCACACCTGTAATCCCAGCACTTTGGGAGGCTGAGGCGGGCAGATCATGAGGTCAGGAGTTCGAGACCAGCCTGGCCAACATGGTAAAACCCCATCTCTACTAAATATACAAAAATTAGCCAGGCATGGTGGCAGGCACCTGTAGTCCTAGCTACTCGGGAGGCTGAGGCAGGAGAATCACCTGAACCCAGGAGTCAGAGGTTGCAGTGAGCTGAGATCACGCCACTGCACTCCAGCCTGGTGACAGAGCAAGACTCCATCAAAAAAAAAAAAAAAAAAAAAAAAGATAGACTTAAAGGATGAAGAAAGGAACTGTCAGAAGAGATATAAAACTATTAAATGAGAGCCAAATGGAAATAAGAGATGTGAGAAATATAAAATAAAGTATGTCTTGGATGGATATAACAACAGATTAGGCCCAACAAAGCAAAGCATCTTGACCTTTCAAACAGATCAAGACAAACTAACCAAGCTACTAACAAGGAGAAGAAAGACTTTCTATTAAAGTCATAAAAGGAAACTCACTAACCGTGTAACAGATGTATAATAGTATTTCCAGAAAAGAACAAAAAGAGCAAGACGGGGAAAAAAACAGCAGTCAAAAGTTTCCAAATTTGGTAGGGGAACAAAAATCAAGCCAAAGATGCAAGCAGCTTAAATAAATTTCAAGGAGGATGGTGGGGTGGGCGGGGTGGGCCACCATTGCATACATGAGCCCAGCTTAGGGAAACTGCAGAAAACCAAAGATAACACAAAATACGAAAAGCAACCAGAGAAAACAGACATTTCATACAAAAGAAGAGATGAGAACAACGACTCTCCATCGGAATCCATGGAGACAAAACAGCGGAAGGTCTTTTTTTGTACAACAGTCCTTCTCAGTTCCTGAAGAACAACTCTACACGGCCTTCTAGGTGTTCACACTCGGCATCTCCCAGCATGACTGCAGGGAGCACGTGCACCGCCCCACGTGCTCTCAAGTTGCTCAGCGTCTTTTGATCTCTGCCAGGGAGACTGGAAACACAACCAGGCCCTTTAAAATGAACCTTCACCTTGGAGGTTCCCAGACCTGAGAAGAAGCTGGAGTTCAGAAGAGCTCATGGCCAACCTCCTCCCTTCCTGCCCACACCCGTTTCTTGCTTTCTCCCTTTGCACCCCCACCATCTTTCCAGCTCGTTCTAGGATTGGGGGAGGCCTCCCACCTGTCCAAGGCAGTGGCTGCCTCATCTGGACCCTTGCTCCCAGAAGGGCCCTGCTATCTGAGGGTTTCTGTTAGGGTAATTTCTGATTGCCAAACTGAGTACTGATAGTTTTATTTTTGTCTCTGATATTTTGTCCAGATTTTTAATGTATTACACAGCAAGAAAGATTTTGGAATGAACATCTCTAATCCTCTATGTTGCCAGCCATGAAAGCTCCCATCCCTCTTACACTCAATCACGTCGCCTCCTCTATGCGAACGTCCCGTAGCCCTGACCCTGTGCCTCGCTGCTGCCCTCACCTGCTCCACAGCATGGAGAGAGCGGAGAGGCTGGCGGCACCAGAGCACCCCCAAGAGGCTCCTGAGTGAATGAAACAAACGGCTGCCAGAGTCCTGACGAGCCTCTTTGAATAATTCTACTTCCTGGAAAAAGATCCCTTCATGAAGATGTGAGCGTTTAACCCATGCTGCATCTAGTTAATATTTTTTCACAATTTACACAAACCCAAAATAAGGTTAAACTTCAACCCTCTCAGTCTTTAGTATTATAATGTTCTGCAGACTATGCACAAACATGGTTAAACCCCAATGAATCATTAGAATTATTTGCGTACTATCATTTAACATTCAGAATAGATCCTTAAGAAAATATACACCTAGAAAAAAAGTGTTCACAATTTAGTGCTGTGGATTAAAAACTGTCAAGGCTGCATGGCTGTACCTCAAGTTCCTGTTTATCAAATATGGCCTTCACAGGAGACGGCTGGGTGGCCGAGGCCAGCAGCTGCTGCAAGAGGATCATGGGGGGCTGCGGCCCTTCAGGAGACATGTCCCCAAGGTCAGGTGATACCACTGCTCCATCATCTGAATTTAAAAACAAAATATGTGTAAGATTCTATTTTCAACTGCGAACACCACTTTACTATTAAAGAAAATGCATTAAGCATGTTAAATCAGGTATGACTTCTGCCTCATTATGTGATAGAAAACCAAAATCTTCAAGGTTCAGACATCGAACAAAAACTAGACTCTAGGTTGGGTGCGGTGGCTCACGCGTGTAATCCCTGCACTTTGGGAGGCCAAGGCGGGTGGATCACGAGGTCAGGAGATCGAGACCATCCTGGCTAACACAGTGAAACCTCATCTTTATTAAAAACACAAAAAAATTAGCCGGGCATGGTGGTGGGCACCTGTAGTCCCAGCTACTTGGGAGGCTGACACAGAAGAATGGCATGAACCTGGGAGGCGTAGCTTGCAGTGAGCCGAGATCACGCCACTGCACTCCAGCCTGGGCGACAGACCAAGATTCGGTCTCAAAAAAAAAAAAAAAAAAAAAAATTAGCTGGGCATGGTGGTGCGTGCCTGTAATCCCAGCTACTCGCAAGGCTAAGGCAGGAGAATTGCTTGAACCAGGGAGTTGGAGGTTGCAGTGAGCCAAGATCACGCCACTGCACTCCAGCCTGGCAACAGAGCGAGACTCCATCTCAAAAAAAAAAAAAAAAAAAGGAACTAGACTCTAAACCACTTTCACTGCCTGCTTTTGGTCTCTGTCCTTCATTAGTGCATCTGTCTCTTAGAGCCAGCAAATGCTCCTTCCCAGATTTCTGCACTTGGTCTGATTCTTTCTCTTTTTCTTGAGATGGAGTCTCACTCTGTTGCCCAGGCTGGAGTGCAGTGGCACAATCTTGGCAAACTGCAACCTCTGCCTCCTGGCTCAAGTGATTCTCCTGCATCAGCCTTCCCTGTAGCTGGGACTACAGGCACATGCTACCACGCCTAGCTAATTTTTGTATTTTTAGTATAGATGGGGCCAGGCTGTTGATTAGATTTCACCATGTTGGCCAGGCTGGTCTCCAACTCCTGATCCACCCGCCTCGGCATCCCAAAGTGTTGGGATTACAGGCGTAAGCCACCATGCCTGACCTACACACTCTCTTTCATGTTCACTCACGGCTTCAGTAACCCCTGACACAGACACATCCCACGTGCATATTTCTAGCTGTAGCTTTTCCAGCTAAGCCTTGTTGAGATCATTAAGTGACCCCAAGTCCAAATGTGACATGTGCTCAGGGTGATGGCTTTTTGTCTGTTATGAGTAGCTTTAGGTGCAGCCTTTAGGACTCTGTTTGACACAGCCCCAGGGAGATCCACTGCGCTCAAGCCCACTTCACACATCTAGGTACTCATCCAGGTACTCACAGCATTTGCATGTGCTGGTTTTCTTCAGTGACAATTTCAACTAACTAGACCAGGAGCTGGAAATCTTTCTCTTAAAGGGCCAGAGAGTAAATAGTTTAGGCTGATGGGCTGTACAGTCTCTGTCCCAACTACTCAGCTCTGCCATTGCAGAGCAAAAGCATCCAGAGACGATGTGTAAACAAGTGGTGTGCCTGTGTTCCCATAAAAATTTACAAAAACAGGTGCATGGCAGTTTTGTCAATCTAGCTCTGTTCGGAGTCCCTGCTCGGCCCAAAGCACAGACTTGATCATCCTGATTCAGGTCTGCTGTAATTGCTCATCGGGCTGAGTGCAGAACAGAACAGCCAATCCAATTCCCAGGCTCCAATCTCCCAATCTCTACAACTGGGAAATCTTCATGTTCCCTACGACCTCTACTATTAATTGATTCTATACTTTCAATTGATTTCTTTCATCCTCAGCAGGTTTAAAATTAATTTCATAGCATCCTCTCCTCTTAAGAAGCAAACGCACACACTCCACATTCTACTGGACTTGCTTATTTGTTTCAAACACACTACTCAATATTCCTCCCTCAACTCAAGCTTGAAACAGCAGTCACCTTCCACTTTTTGCTGGTTCCCCATAAAGTTATCATCTACAAGACTACACCATCACAGTGGATGGCACCTTCCTTCCACCAGAACCTTCTTTCCCTTTTCATGCCTTCCCCCTCATCACCTGACGCAGGAGCAATTCTCCATCTCTGTCATCTCCTGTTTCAGATACTCCTATACCTTCCTAGCAGGTGTATCACCCGAAGGTCAATGCTTACCATGTGGCCCCTACCACAGCTTTCCAAGTGGGCCTCAAGTTTCACCCTGGTCTCCCAGGTACTCTGTAACAGGATGTCAGCTGCCCATCTAGCTTCAGCCCCACCACTCATCGAAAAACCCTGAGCTCCAAGAAGAGGAGAGCTGCTCAACGTGCTTCCAAAGACTCACCACGTTCACTCCTCTCCTCCTGCCTCCACCACCAGCAGAGTGCTTGTCTGCTGGCATCTGTCTGCCACAGCCTTCAAAGGCTGCCCGTCCAGTGCTCAGCTGCCACTGGCTCCAGACGCCTGTGGAACCACTCACATGCCTCACCGCCCCCTGGCCCCAGAGAACAAAGAGAGCCATCTGCATTCACTTCCTCTCCTCATCCAAACCCTAGAGAGCAATGATCATAGAAAAGGACTTCTCCGCAAAAGACTTAGCATAATGTCTTTCAATAGTTGGAGATCAAAAAATGTTTTTTTCTATTAAAAGTAACACAAGCTCATTCTAGAAAACTAAATATAGAGAAATATAAAGAAAATAAAGACAGCCAAAATTCCACCAAAGATTACTGGGTCACTGTTTTGCTAAACAGATAACTATGGCATATCTATAAACGGATATACATAGCAGTGTGCTTTTCTGTTCACTTACTGTTTTCATGTTTCCACAGCAATAAACATATACAGCTAGCCCTCCGTATCCATGGGTTCTGCATCCAAAGATTCAACAAACCACACATCAAAAATATTCAGAATAAAACAATTTTTTAAAATATAATTTTAAAAAGAATAGCAATAACAACTATTTACATATCATTTATTTTATTTTATTTTTATTTATTTATTTATTTTTTTGAGACAGAGTCTCGCTCTGTCACCCAGGCTGGAGTGCAGTGGCACGATCTCGGCTCACTGCAAGCTCCGCCTCCTGGGTTCATGCCATTCTCCTGCCTCAGCCTCCCAAGTAGCTGGGACTACTGGCACCCGTCACCACGCCCAGCTAATTTTTTGTATTTTTAGTAGAGATGGAGTTTCACCGTGTTAGCCAGGATGGTCTCAATCTCCTGACCTCGTGATCTGCCCACCTCAGCCTCCCAAAGTGCTGGGATTACAGGCGTGAGCCACCGCACCCAGCCTATATATCATTTATATTTTTAAAGTATTTCGGAGGATGTGCATAGGTTATATGCAAATACTACACCATTTTATAGAAGGGCCTTAAGCATTAGTGAATTCTGGTATAACTGGGGGTCTTGGAACTCATCCCCATGGATATTGAGGGAAGACTATACATGTACCATCATTTTGAATGGCACCATGATATCACACTGTACGGATACACAACATAAGAATGGGTATTTTGGTGTCTACAGTTTTTCAATACAAAAACAATACCAAAAAGGAGGCCATAACGACACTGTTGAATACATTATTTTTATTTATTATTTTTTTTGAGACGAAGTCTCACTCTGTCACCCAGGCTGGAGTGCAGTGGCACAATCTGCACCCTGCAATCCGCACACACGGCAACCTCCGCACCCCCCGGTTCAAGTGATTCTCCTGCCTCAGCCTCCCAAGTAGCTGGCATTACATGCAGCCACCACTATGCCCCGCCAATTTTTTTTTTTTTTTTTTGAGACAGAGTCTTGCTCTGTTGCCCAGGCTGGAGTGCAGTGGCGCCATCTCAGCTCACTGCAAGCTCCGCCTCACAGATTCATGCCATTCTCCTGCCTCACCCTCCCGAGTAGCTAGAACTGCAGGCGTCTGCCACCTTGCCCAGCTAATGTTTTGTATTTTTAGCAGAGATGGGGTTTCACCGTGTTAGCCAGGATGGTCTCTATCTCCTGACCTCGTGATCCGCCCGCCTCGGCCTCCCAAAGTGCTGGGATTACAGGCATGAGCCACTGTGCCCAGGTGGTGAATACATTATCTTTACATGCCTTTTCGTGTGATAAAGTCCCACAGAATGACTTGCTGGGCCAAAGTATATAAATACATACATACATCTATGCATTTCAAAGTCCAACTCATTTCCTCAGACGCCCATTAGATGGCTACACCAACTGAAATTCCCAGCAGCAGCCTGTTCATGGAGTGCGGCTTTACGCGCATTTGAAGAACCAGCTTAGGTTCATCTTGTTACAATACAGGCTCTATTTCTTTGGTCTGGGGTGCAGCCTGGGAGTCTGCATTTCTAACACATACCTGCGTGCCACCAATCTTGCTGACCCATGCAGCACACTTTAAATGGGAAGGCATGAAAATACCTTTTTCCCTCCCCACCCACCAGATGCCCTCAGTCTTGTCTTATAAGATGACGATGACAATTTTATTCACAGTTGGTGGTTGCTGGGCAGGCCACGTGTCTGTTTTGTACATTTATAAGCCACCTATGTCCATTTTTATGAACTGATTATTCACTTCCTTTGTCTACTTTCTACTGCCCTTCTTATAAAGATTTAAGAACTTTTTAAAAAGACACCTGTGTGAACAGTTCCAGTCTCCTGAACAGCTGGCTGAGACAGGATCTGCCGCAGTTTATCCTGGTGGGAGAACAGCGCCCGACCTGCTTTCAGGATGTATAGCTTCAACTGCTGGCGCCGCAGCAGGTCCAGGTCCACTTGTCCTGCGGAAGGAAAGACTCAGTGAGAAGGGCGTGCCCTGCTCAGACTCCCTCCTCGCCAGCAGCAAGCCTCCGCCACATGGCGACGAGTAACGCTCTGCCCTTCAGGAATCTGCCGACCGCACACACTGTCCGTGACGAAGGGCTTGCCTTTCCCAGAGTTACACTCGGTGCTTCTGGGTAAGCATCTTCTGCCTCCTGGGTCTTCCTTCCCTGCTCTCCAGGCACCTAACTTGATAGGACGCAGGATTCAATGGGTTTAACACGGTTAGAACCATGTTAGCTACTATTAATATGATCAAATGTTCCCCAAGTTGCTGAAGTTTCAGCCGCTTCCACTCTTCTTCTAAGACTCCTCTGAGAGAATCTGTCAGCCCCACTAGCTCTTTAACTGATGAAGATCGCAGCAATGCCCAAGGCTTATCTGATAGCAGAGGCCGCAGAAGCAGCACAGAGAGCATGGGGTGGGAAGGAAGGAGGGCCGCAGGTGCCGCTCGGACACTGGCTCAACTAACTGGCAGACAGTTTTATTCACCACGATGGGAAACGGCAGCTACTAGAGAATGCCAGCCAGCTGAATTTCGGACATGTGGTGATTTGCATGCACTGCACCTCCAACCAGAGATGTGAATGGGAGATCCAGAGTTGAAAGTGCTTACATCATAAATGCTGAAGCAGCAATCGTAGGTCTGTGGGAGCAAGAGGGGAGAAAACTCAAGAAGACTGGGCAGAATACGCCATAGTTATGGGTGAAGCCACACAGACTTCCAGGACATAAAGAATGAGCAGAGAGAAGAGCTCCCTAGAAACATGGAAACAAACTCAGGAGAACCGCCTTCTAGACCCGAAGGAAGGCAAAGCCAAGCCAGGCTACAGTCACAGTCTTAGCCATCCTGAATGTCACAGGCAAGCCAGGCGCTTCCGGGACAGAGGCCCCTGGATCCGGCAGAGAACAGGCTGTGAGCCATGGTCCAACAGGGTGACGGGGCCACAGGGCCCTGGGATGGAGGGGAGGAGGGAAGAGGTGAACAGACTTCTCTTCCGGGATAAAGGGTGACACGGAGAAGAGGGTGTGAGCCATGGGGTTCTTCAAGTGTGGCTCCGAACATGGCGACAAAGGCTGACTCGAAAATACTCATTACCACGAACACAGGGTTACATTCCCAACCGCAACTCAACAAATGGTGAGCCCACGTGAACCCCAGGACTTTAGTACGTCCGTGAATTCACTCATAAAAGAACACTGTACAAACCACACGAGTTTAAGACGGCAGCTATTTCATCAAGAAGCGCCATGTACTGACCTGCAAAGGCCTGTTTAGTCGATTTCTTTATTTTGTGCTTTTCTAACTTGCTTCCAGCGAGGTTCACCAACTGAGCCCAGACAGACAGCATGGGCTCTGTGAAGGGCAGGTTGTTCACATTAAAGGCCACGGCAGGGAGCTGGAGAGGACACAGAAGCTGTCAGAGTGTGGCCAATATGACTAACAAATGAAACGTTCTGAAAGTCATCAAAACCATGGGCTTAATCCTGAAATGCCACACATACCCGTAAGCCTTTTTATAGCTGAGAATAATCATTTTTTAAAATGACATTAAAGGCAGGATAGAGATTTACACATATAATAAGTATAATCTATATTAATTTTTCTTTACAAACCTGTCAACAATAATTACATCAGTGTGGTGGTTACTATCTTCTCAGATATTTTCTATATACTTCAAGTTTTCTACAACATGTATATATTCCTATAATAATAAAAAAGAGTACTTTATAGAAAATATAGTCAGGCCGGGCACGGTGGCTCACGCCTGTAATCCCAGCACTTTGGGAGGCCGAGGCGGGCGGATCACCTGAGGTCAGGAGTTTGAGACCAGCCCGGCCAACATAGTGAAACCCCATCTCTACTAAAAATACAAAATTAGCCAGGCGTGGTGGCACACACCGTAATCCCAGACACTCAGGAGGCTGAGGCAGGAGAATCGCTTGAACCCGGGAGGCAAAGGTTGCAGAGGGCCGACAACATTGTGCCATTGCACTCCAGCCTGGGTGACAAGAGCAAGACTCCATCTCAAAATAAAAAAGAAAAAGAATATATAGTAAGATTGCACTTGGGCTACATCAAAATAATGTAAATGGCTCCTTCTCCCTGTGCATCCTTGATTCACAGATTAAGATGACAGTAGCTGCTACATTAAGTCACGTCACTCAAAACTACTAAGCATTTTCTACATGAAGAAAGGCTGTTTTTTTAAAGGTGTTTAAACATGTTTGTTTTTTTAAAACTTGAGTTGTTGAATAAAAAGTAAACTTCATAAATTCACATTTTAAAATAATTAGAACTACCTCATAGATGCACGGTACCTTCTAGGTTGCTAAAGCCCTCTTCGTGTCTCTGAGGCTGAAATACACACGAACCACTGCTTTAAGTGCCCTGTGAGACAGGCCCTGCTTACCACAGAAGCACAAGCTCGCACAGCTTCCTGGAAGGCAAACTTCAAGTACCAGAATCAAGTTCTTTCAAGTGCTGATGTTGGTGCTCGGTTCTAGTGTAAAGTCAATTTCCCTTATCATGCAGTAACTAAGCACAAGTTCACCTACTGGTTTCAGCTGATTCAATGGGCAAACGCGACACGTCCGCATGTCAGAGAACTGCACGGTGATTTTGCCCTTCAGGGTGATGCGAGTCATGGTGACTTCTCCAAAGTCATCGTGCACAACTTGGCCGCCCAGGCACAGGCGACCATCGATGCCTCCAACCACAGCCAGGACCGCCATGAGGCCCCCCACTTCAGGGTTCTCGGAATCAGGGAAGTAGTCATCTAACTGGGCCTAGTGCAGACCAAACAGCGAGCTCGACCGGGGACACTCACGGAGCTGCCCAATCCCTACAGGTTTACTGTTCAACTAAATTAATTCTGAGAACACAAACCCACCCCTTTGGAAGGCCTTCCCGCAAAGCTGTGGGTGATGGAGCGGAGCTGGGAGTTGATGTACTTGTTGATGAGCCCATTCCACCGAGTCAGGGAGTGCAGCGTGTGCAGCAGTGCCACCACCTCCTCCGCCAGTGTGCTGCTGTGGGTGGCAGTCAGCGAGGCCTGCGGGCACACCCTGCGCCGCCTCAGCGTGGACTCTGAGGAGGAAACCAGGGGAGAAGCTGCTGCACCACTCTTCACCAGGGCACAGGGAAGGGAGACGGCCACTCACCTCTGAGTGACGGCACTACACGGCTCTTCACCAGGACACAGGGAAGGGAGACGGCCACCCACCTCTGAGTGACGGCACTGCACCGCTCTTCACCAGGGTACAGGGAAGGGAGACGGCCACCCACCTCTGAGTGACGGCACTGCACCGCTCTTCACCAGGACACAGGGAAGGGAGACGGCCACCCACCTCTGAGTGACGGCACTGCACCGCTCTTCACCAGGGTACAGGGAAGGGAGACGGCCACCCACCTCTGAGTAACGGCACGTCAGAGGAGCACATAGTGAGCAAGCTCCCCAAGAAGTCAAACAGCTTCTCCATGAGGCATTTCATGTCCCTCACCCTTTCGGTCTTGTCCCATGACGGAAGGACTGCTTGCAACAAATGCACAGCTAAGATCTGATAAAAGAAAATTTAAAATGACAAGCATTAAAAAAAATCTGATGAGGAAACTACAGATTGTTATTTTCTTTTTTTTTTTTTTTTTGAGACAGAGTCTCGCACTGTCGCCCAGGCTGGAGTGCAGTGGCACGGTCTTGGCTCACTACAACCACCACCTCCCAGGTTCAAGCGATTCTCCTTGCTTCAGCTTCCTGAGTAGCTGGGATTATAGGCACTCACCACCAAGCCCGGCTCATTTTTTTTGGATTTTCAGTAGAGACAGGATTTCACTATGTTGGCCAGGCTGGTCTCAAACTCCTGACCTCATGATACACCTGCCTCTGCCTCCCAAAGTGCTGGGATTACAGGCATGAGCCACTGCGCCCAGCCTCTCTTTATTTTCTGTTCTCATAATGCAAGTAATCATGTGAAAATTTTGAGATTCATTATTTTACAGCCAGGTAATTACACTCAAGTTGATTAGTGATTAGGATTGTCAGGGACTTTAGAAAAAAGCAACATTACAGATGCATGTGTTTAATTAAAAAAGAATTATTTTTAGTTTAATTCTTAAGACAATTACACTACAAATTCTGTGAAGCAGATGAGTAAGTAGTTGCAGGATTTACCACTTAAGAGAAAAGCAGGTAAACTGAAGGTTAGCAACTTACCAATTATCAAGGACCTCTGCCCCTTGCCTCCAGAAAATCTACCCTGTCACTTCTAGACCCTTTCTGCACTCGTTACGGAATAAAGGCCCCTGACTCTGAGGGCAGGGAACTTCAGTACATGGAGGCCTCTCTCAGGGAACTGGTTTTGCCTGGCAGCACATTACCTGCCTCTGCAGCGAGGTGGCAGTGAAGGGTGCGTGCCCTTCCACAACCTTCATGAGCAGCGTGATCCACTGCGGGGAGCTGAGGGCGCCGCACACCTGCAGCGTGAGAGCGATGCTCTGCACAAACCCCAGCGTGCACCAGCTCCGGTGTTGCTCCCTGTACACCAGCCTGTTTGGAGAAGCTGCGGGAGGGAAAATAGACATGCTTGGTAACAAGTCCCTAAAGACAAATCCCTAAAGATATATATATCCTTATTTTTTTATCAACTTATTTTCTACAATAAGCTCCTTTAAAATATATTGCAGTTTGTAAATTAATTCAAACTAATTCAAAGTGAGAAGTGGAAGGCGGCTTTTAAGTTAGTTCAAGAAACATTTCCGAAGTTTTCTTTTTTTTTTGTTTTTTTTAGAGAAGGGCCCTCACTGTGTTGCCCAGGCTGGTCTAAAACTCCTGGGCTCAAGTGATTCTCCTGCCTTGCCCTGCCGAATAGCTGGGACTACAGGCATTTTTAAAACCTTCTAAGTATGTGTCGTAAAAGTAGTTAGGGAATTTTAGCTATGCATTGTTTCTAGGCAATAGGAAAATGATCTATAATTCAAATAGTAATTTGCAACAGTGCATCTATTATATTTTTAATTTCGTGTTTTAAATATCTCCACAATCTTGGTTATATTTAATCTGCACCACTTAAATACTCTTTTTGTAATTTTAGTAGAGACAGTTTCCAATCCAAGTTTAATGCATCTGCATTAACAAAATGAGTTTTTCACTAGGTTTACACCACTGGATTCTGGCACCAGTGGGCCCACCTCTGCTCCGCCTGGCTCCAGGACTCCACTACTCCCTCAATGGAAGCTGAGGCTTGGAGGCTGGGCCCCCTGAGGGACCCCGCCCACAGCCCCACAGGACCTGCTCTCCCTCCCACCTCCCCCACCCTGCCCTCAGCTATCCAAGCTTATGAGGACACCTGCCTTCCTTCAGCACACTCACATGCGCTCACACACACACACACACTCACTCTCACACCCTCATATGCATCCTCACACTCACACTGATACTAAGTTATTCAGACACACTCATGGGCACTCATACACCCACCCTCACACTTTCAGGTGCACTCACACCACTGTCGCAATCACTAACACACACACAATCCCAGTCACACGTATGCACAAACAGATGCAAGCTGACACACACTCCCATGCACTCTCACATACACTTACCCCTCCCAATGCATACAAAAACTCACATATGCACTCACACTCCTCAACACTAGTAATGACCGATTACTCACCCACTCACACCTTTACCCACACACTTTCTCACTTTACACTCACACCTATACTGTTATAACCTCCCATTCACTGACACAAGCAAAATGCTCACATTCACTCACACGCATTCACAATAACATCACTCGTGCTCACACTGACACAAGGCACTCATACACATTTACACAAATGCTCACACTCAATCGCACACTTACACTTGTGCCTGCCACCCACTCATACTTCCTCACACTCACCAACCCTCACTGACTTACACTTACACTGGGTGTCTCATTCGCACACCCAGTAATCCCCTCACACTCACACTCATGCCTCCCTCGTGCTCACCCTCACACACACACATTGGCTCAATGCACCGACGCTTTCACTCCCACTTCACCTGAATGTAGTCACCTGCCCACTCACATGCTCTCATGGACATACACACACCCACACAACCACATGCTACAAACACACCATCACACTTGCAACACAAACGCTCAGCCACTTGCCCATCGACCGCTAACACACTCACTCTCATCAATATGTGCGGACGCTCCAGCACACCACTAATACACGCATGCTCTCACACACACTGGAGGACGCCCACATACCCACCCACACTCACACGTGCTCACTCTCAGTCACATGCACACTCACCCCACTCCCTCAGCTCACATTTCTCATACTTACTCTCCACACACACAAACACTTTATGGATTAAACTGTGCCTGTCCTCCAACTTCACATACATTCGGAACCTCAGAATATGATCTTATTTAATGAGGTCTCTGTAGACGTCATTAAGGTAAGAATTTAGGTGACATCATGTTGGATTAGAGTCAAAGAAACTCAATGAAAGAGTCCTTTCAGAGACAGAAAAGGACATGCAGAACACAGGGGCAGGGGCCATGTGAAGACGCAGGCAGAGACTGGCACAATGCGTCCCAACACCAAGGAAGCCTGGAGCTCCCAGAAGCTGGACAAAGTAAGGAAGGACCTTCCCCTAGAGCCTGTGGAAGAAGCATGGCCCTGCCCGCACCTGGATTTGGGACTTCTGGTCTCCAGAACTCTGAGAGAACAAATTTGTTGTTTGAAGCCAGTGTTACGGGTTGAATTCAGAATTGCAAAATTCGTATGTTGAAGCCCTAACCCCTACCGTACCTCGGCAGGTGACCTTGTTTGGAAATAGGGTCGCTGCGGATGTAATCAGTTTGATGAGGTTGAATGATGTCCTCATGAAAAGGGGAGATTTGGAGGCGACTCACACACAGGGAGAATGCCATGTGAAGATGACGGCAGAGATAGGGGTGACACCTCTACAAGCCGAGGAACGCTAAAGAGACCAGTAAACTCCAGAAGCTGGGGCAGAGCCCTGAAGCAGCTTCTCCCTCACAGCCCCAGAAGGAACTACCCTTGATCTCAGCCTTCCAGCCACCAGAACCGTGAGAATTTCTACTGTGTAAGTCCCCAAGTTTGTATACTTTGTTACAGCAGCCACAGGAAAGGAATCCACACACATCCACACCCACCCACATGCACACCCAGACACGACAAGCGTGCGGCCCCCAGCGCTGACTCCCTGGGCCCTCGATCTCTCATTCCATACATGTCTTGTCCGTCGTTCCGCTTTCCACTAACATTCGCAGCAGTCCGCATAAAGTCTTGGTGGCTTCACTCTGCATGATCTCAGCATGAACTCCAGCAGACAGACAAAGAGTCTGCAGTAAGTTAATAGTGCTGGTAAACATCATTGCAGTGGGGTGAATGTTCCTTTCAGTTTGTTCGGCTTCTAAAAAAAATAATCAAAATTACAAATTATATTGGCAGCCCCAGCCTCTTGGATGGTCTTACCAAGCCCAACCATGTGAAGCTTCACGTGTTTTAGGAACAGCTAAGAAATGTCACGAAACCTCCTCCCACAACCTGGATCTCCACAGATAGGATCTAGCTTTCTTGGTCCACCCCTAAATTCTCACCTCTGCTTCCCTAGAAGCGATAAAGTGCTGACTAACTCCACATTACATGAAGAGTTCAGAGTCAGGGACCACAGAGGAAAGGTAAAGGCAGGTGGCAGGTGGGGTGTGCTTGGGCAGGGGCTCTCACTGGAGGAGGACGCGATGGACCGAGACCGCAGGGCAATTCCACCAGGCCTCGGCTCACTCGCTCAGATGCAGGCTCAGCACCAACCACATGAGACTCACTGGTGATGCAGCTGCCCCCACCTGGCCACCACATTCTCAAAGAGGGGCGGGTGCACACATGAGAGGAAAATGCAGAAAGTCAGTTCCAGCCAGATCGCCGGATCCCACAGTCACTCCACACACCTGCATCGGAGGTGCCTGGGAGCTTATTTAAATTACAGGTTCCGAGGACAGAGCGCCAGCTGCAGGTGTGTCCTGACATCCCATTCTAAGGCCCAGATGGCAGTGGCAGCACCCAGCAACTGGACAGTTTGTAGGCTGCCTTGGACTAAACACCTTCCTGAGTCACCCACCAGAGTCGTCCTCTGTGTCCGAATCCTCTGCTGAGGGCTGTGCAGGGGCTGGCAGCTCTGCCAGCTTGAGGTCGTATTTTCCTTCTTTCCCCATCCTGTAGGAGTTGGTGCTGCCTGTGTCCCACTGGACTCTTATCCACCCGTCCTCTCCCAGCTCACCAATCACTCGGCCTAGGCCTGGAGGAGGCCCATCCTGAGAAAGCCAAAGTAGAGATCAGTTAGGAGGGTGCGTAACCTGCCCTGGTCCTTCCATGGCTCCCAGCAGACCTCAGTTAGGAGGGTGTGTGCCCTGCCCTGGTCCTTCCATGGCTCCCAGCAGACCTCAGTTAGGAGGGTGCATGCCCTGCCCTGGTCCTTCCATGGCTCCCAGCAGACCTCAGTTAGGAGGGTGCGTGCCCTGCCCTGGTCCTTCCATAGCTCCCACCAGACCTCAGTTAGGAGGGTGCGTGCCCTGCCCTGGTCCTTCCATGGCTCCCAGCAGACCTCAGTTAGGAGGGTGCCTGCCCTGCCCTGGTCCTTCCATGGCTCCCACCAGACCTCAGTTAGGAGGGTGCGTGCCCTGCCCTGGTCCTTCCATGGCTCCCACCAGACCTCAGTTAGGAGGGTGCGTGCCCTGCCCTGGTCCTTCCATGGCTCCCACCAGACCTGCCACACAGATGTCGCCATATGCCACCCTGTCTGTCAGGGGCTGTCCCCAGACACAGATTTCACCTCTCCTACAAAATGTGTGCTTGCATCATTTTAAATTAAATGGCATAAAATAACGTGCTCATGCTGCTTTACCAAGGAAGTCGGGGAAATCTCATCTCAATGAGGATCCTCTGAGTCAATGCAGAGACAGGGCTTTGCAGCAAGTCCTGTCCCCACAATCCCTCACGGGCCTTGCAAGAGCGGAAACCTGAAACAAGCACCAGCACCTCCACATTCCCTTTGCTTCAGTTTCCCCTGGGCCCCAGGGGGAAGCTCTGTCTCTCACTTCTGCAGGAGAAAGCTGTTTCTAGGATGGATGCTGTCTCCAGACACTGCTATTTCTAAGATGACTGTGACAAAGCCAGGGCTTACCAGCGTGGCTGAGAAAAGCCAGACAGACCATGGGAAGGTGAACACTGCCCTAACTTAGCTAGGGCTGTGGTAAGTGACTTCCACCTGGGGGCACCTGGCAGAGATTTAGAAGAGACCTGCGATGAGGGAAGATGGAAACGTGGCCACAGGCCCATGAAGTAGATCCCTAACTACTGGCTTCAGGGCACTTCGCAGCACATGGCCATCAGCCCACAGGGGCAGCATCTGGGCTTCCTGCCTCAGAGCCTTCACTACACCAACTTTCAGAATGAGATTTACTCTCTTGCTCACTCTCACACTCTTGTTCCAGTGACCCATCAAACTGAGCCTCATGCCAGTGAGTTTCCTGAAAAGAGCTGCCTCTCTTTCCAGACTTGATTCTGCTCAGATGCCCTACTTATGATTCCCTGTTTGTGTTCACTCCCTTCAGCTGCTCGGGAACCAACACCTGTGTCATCGATCAACTGACACATCCTGGATTATTCCAATTTCCACCCACCAATATCGTACAGAACTATGCAGAAGATAACTAATGTGTGGCTAATGTGTTCACATCAAATCTCTGAGTACCTGATCGCCCCATTTCCAGTCCACACCTCTCATGACCCTTGTTCCAATCTTCATCATGGCAGCCAGTTCTGGCCCTGAAACAGGGAGCTGCACAGGAGCCGTTTCCTTCCTTGTTTCTTCCAAAACTGTGGCAGAAGCACCTTGGGCAGAAGCATTCATATCTTCCTCAACGCTGTCACAACTGGGGCCTGACGGAGCGTCAAAAACAATAGCTGAGCCAACAAGTAGCTACAGTGTCCCCTTAATACACACAAAACATTCACAAAGTACTAATGAAGATCGTAATTTTGAACAATCCATACTATATGTTTTATCAATATAATATTATGAATATTTTACTGATATAGGATAAAAAGAAGATAAACGGAAGGATGAAATACATAAATATCCTAGGAAGATATAAAAGATATTAAAATGCTCAGTAAAGCTACTTTCTCTACTTCTAGGAATTACTCCCCTGAAAAAAGCAAAATAACTGAGTTAGAAAGATCCTCATCACATTTTTTATTAATAGAAAAACAAAGATAACTACCTAAATATCTAACAGTGGGAAACTAACAAACTTTAATCATGGTTCTGTGCAGAAGACAGCTAACAGCTGGCCCGAGATACAACCTCAGACAGGGTTGCTGCAGGCTGGCCCTCAGCTGGAGTCTGGATCTCAGGAGGGCTCCCCCATTCCCTAGGTGGTAGGTGTGGTTCCCTGTGCCTGAACTGTCTGTACAAACAATGTGGTCTGTGCTGAAACCTGCTTTCCTTAGTCTGGAACTTGGTACACGCCAGGCAGGGGGTGCCCGTGTGATCAGTCCTGATGGAAACCGTGGGCCTGGAGTCTCTACCCAGCTTCCCGGCAGACAGCACTTGACACGGCTCGGTGCCAGGGCAGTTAAGCTCGTCCTGTGTGGATCCTGTGGAAGCTTGTACCTGCTTTCCTCTGGACTTTACCCATGTCCTTTTTCATGATTTTGCTCTGTGTCCCTTCACTGTAATAAACTATAGCCCTGAGTACAACTACATGCTGAGTCTTGTGAGTCCTCCTGGCCAACCATCAAACCTGGGGGTGGTCTTGGAGACCCCTGACAATTGGTGCCCTGGGTGGCTACAGAGTCATCCGTAGCACAAAACAGAAGCCGAGCTGCTGTCACCTGAGAGAAGTAAAACTTCCCAATGGATCTGAAAATAGGAGCGCTAACCCTAGGAGAGTAGGCTAGATTTTTAACCCCCCTTTTCCCACTTGCTAAACTGAGAGGGGGTAGGAGTGTGGTTCTGGTAACTCCCTTGATTTTAGTTTTCTCCTCCAGGTGGGAGGGAAAAAGATCCAAACAGTCCCAAAGGTGGGCTGGGGTGGACCAAAAAATGTAAAAAGTTTGTGTTTCTCTCTCTTCCAAGAGAACAAAAAAGGATATTCAATTCCCAGGGCTGGAGCAAAACTTTAGATAAACTAGCAGGAGAAACAGCCTTTCCTTTAGCCTAGCCGCTACTTTAGGGCCCCCAGGAAGGGGCCCCAAGGAAGGGACAGGAGTTGCATTCCAGGTGGATCTCCCAGGAGCCCCTGGGCAGCTATACTGTTAACTCTGTAAAGACTGAATGTATTGCTAAGGGCTTGAATAAATTTGCAACCAAAACCGGGGGGAATTTTTTTATTTTACATAGCTTTATGTTTTGTGGCTGTTACATGTGGATGTATACATTAAGCTGGTATAAAATATTATATGTTTATAATTTCTTAAATGATAAGAAGGATACCCTGATCAGGGCAGGCTGCAAATATAGACGGATATTCATGAGACACAACTTCCTTGCTTTTTGCAGCCAGTGGGCCAGATGAAATTTAAACACATGAATATTATCAACAGAACAAGTCCCCATACTTAATGATTTGTGCTGTGATTTTTACTTATTGGAACCTCTGGGGGAAAAGTAGACAACATAAAAAGGCCATTTCTCGATGGAGATATGCTTTTGTAATTTTTAAATGCAACTTTTGGTTGCTAATGAGGCCTCAGGAAATCAGATATAACCCTTACTAGATGATTCTTTTCAGCTGTAATATACATATTAAAATATATATTTAACATAATACAACATATAAACATAATATATAAATTAAAAAATAATTATATATATATATATAGAGAGAGAGAGAGAGACAGACAGACAGACAGATAGAAAGATTCCACCCACCCCCAAGACAGGATTTCACTCTGTCACCCAGGCTGGAGCCCAGGCTGGAGTGCAGTGGCTTGATCTCCGCTCACTGCAACCTCTGCATCCCTGGCTCAAGCAATCCTCCCACCTCAGCCTCCCAGGTAGCTGGGACCACAGGCACACACCACTATGCCCAGCTAATTTTCGTATTTTTTGTAGAGAGAGGGTTTCGCTATGTTGCCCAAGTTGGTCTCAAACTCCTGAGCTCAAGCAATCCACCCGCCTGAGCCTCCCAAAGTGCTACGATTACAGCCTGGCCTGATACATATTTTTGAATGGATTAATGTGAACTCTAAAACTGATGTGATTATAAGAGCTTGGGAAAACCTTGCTTTTTCACTGTGACTTTGACAACTGGCCCTGCAGCATCTCAGTTTTAGCCAAAGAACACCACCATAAACCAATCAGATCTAATAGACATATACAGAACATTTCACCAAAAAGAGCAGAATACACGTTCTTCTCAAGTATACCACAGGACACTCTCTTAGACTGACCAGACCATATGTTAGGCCACAAAGTCTCAAATTTAAACAGACGAAAATCATACAAGTTACCTTCTCCAACCAAAAGGAAATGATGAGAAATTAATAACAAAAGGAAAAGTGGAAAATTCACAAGTATATGAAAATTAAACAACACATGGTAAACAATCAGTGGGTCAAAGAAGAAATCACAAGGGAAATTAGAAAATACTATGAGATGAATGAAAACACAACACACCAAAACTTCTGTGCTGGGCCAAAAGCAGGGCTAAAAGGGGCAATTATACTATAAAAGTCTGCATTTACAAAAGATGATCTCAAATCAATAACTCTACATCTGGAAGAACTAAAAAAATAAGAACACAATAAAAACCAAAGTTAGGCCAGGTGTCGTGCCTCACACCTGTAATCCCAGCACTTTGGGAGGCTGAGGCAGGTAGATAACTTGAGCCCAGGAGGTTGAGGCTGCAGTGAGCCATGAGTGCGCCACTGTACTTGGGCCTGAGGGACAAAGTAAGACCCTGTCTCAAAACAAAGACAAAAACAAAAACAAAAAAATACAAAGCAGAAAGAAGGAAACGATAGAGATTAGAGCAGCCATAAATTAAATAGAGAATAGAAAAATAATCTACAAAACCAAAAGTTCGGTTTCTGGCAAGAACAAAAAATCTGACAAACTTTTGGTAAATTAAGAAAAAAAGAGGCCAGTCAAGGTGGCTCACGCCTCTAATCCCAGCACTTTGGGAAGCTGAGGTGGGCGGATCACAAGGTCAAGAGATTTAGGTCATCCTGGTCAACATGGTGAAACCCCATCTCCACTAAAAATACAAAAAAAATTAGCCAGGCCTGGCGGCAGGCGCCTGTAGTCCCAGCTTACTTGGGAGGCTGAGGCAGGAGAATCACTTGAATCCAGGAGGCGGAGGTTGCAGTGAGCCAAGACTGTGTCACTGCACTCTGGCCTGGCAACAGAGTGAGACTCCATCTCAAAAAAAAAAAAAAAAAAAAAGAAAAAAAAAGAGAAAAGATGCAAATAACTAACATCAGAAATGTAAGTGGAGACAGTACTACCAACATAAAAATAAAAAAGATTATAAAAGAACACTGTGAACAACTGTATGCCAACAAATAAAATAGCCTAGATAAAATGGACACATTCCTAGAAACATAAATTACCCAAACTGACTCAAGAAGAAATAGAAAATCTGAATAGAGCCATAACAAGTAAAGAGATTGAATCGGTAATTAAAAATCTTTCAGGCCAGGCGCCGTGGCTCACGCCTGTAATCCCAGCACTTTGGGAGGCCGAGGCGGGTGGATCACGAGGTCAGGAAATCGAGAGCATCCTGGCTAACACAGTGAAACCCCGTCTCTACTAAAAATACAAAAAATTAGCCGGGCGTGGTGGCTGGCGACTATAATCCCAGCTACTCAGGAGGCTAAGGAAGGAGAATGGCGTGAACCCGGGAGGCGGAGCTTGCAGTGGGCCGAGATCATGCCACTGCAGTCCAGCCCGGGCAACAGTGTGAGACTCCGTCTCAAAGAAAAAAAAAAAAAAATCTTTCAACAAAGAAAAGCTTAGGTGGTCAACTCTACCAAACATTTAAAGCTGAACTGACACCAATCCTCAAACTCTTCTAAAAACAGAATATATGGGAACACTACCTAGTTCATTCTATGAGGCCATTATTACCCTGATAACTGTAAAACAATAAAATATTGCTGAAAGAAATTAAAGAGGACAGAAATAAATGGAAAGACATTCCACATTCAGAGAATGGATGTTAACATTGTTAAAATGGCACTATTTCCCAAAACAATCTACAGATTCAATCCCTAGCAAAAATCCCAATGGTCTTTTTTTGCAGATATGGAAAAGCCAGCCTTGAAGTTCATGTGAAAATGCAAGGGACCCAAAGTAGCCAAAATCATCTTGAGAAAGAAAACACACTTCTCAATTTTAAAACAGTACAAAACTACAATGTTCAAAACAGGGCGGTACCTGCACAATTATCAACATATAGAATGTGATAATGTAATTGAGAGTCCAGAAATAAACCTAAATATCCACAGCCAACTGATTTTTGCCAAGGGTACCCAGAACTTCAGGGAAAGAACAGTCCTCAACAAGTGGTATTGAAACAATCAGATCAACAAAAGAAAAAGGCTGGACTCTTACCTCACACTGTGTAAAAGAAATTACCTAAAAATGGACCAAAGATCTAAATATAAGAGCTGAAACTATAAAACTTACAGAAGAAAACATGAGGATAATCTTCATCAACCTTGTGTTTGGAAATGGCTTTTTGGATATGATATCAAAAGCATAGACGACAAAAGAGAAACAGATAAATTGAACTTCATCAAAATAAAAAACTTCTCTATCTAAGGGAATACAATCCAGAGAACAGGAGAAAATACCCTCAAATGATATACCTGATAAAGGTCTACAGATCTGTGAAGGTCTAGTATACACGAACTTTTTAAAGAGTCTGAGGACTGGTGTTAATTCTTCTTTAAAGGTTTGATACACTTATATAGTGCATTTATTGGTACAACAAGATGACGACAAATAACCCTATTTAAAAAGGAGAAAGGGGCTGGGCGCAGTGGCTCACGCCTGTTATCCCAGCACTCTGGGAGGCCAGGGCAGGCAGATCACCTGAGGTCAGGAGTTCCAGACCAGCCTGGCCAACATGGCGAAATCCCATCTCTACTAAAAATACAAAAGTTAGCCAGGTGTGGTGGTGTGTGACTGTAATCCCAGCTACTTGGGAGGCTGAGGCACAAGAAGTGCTTGAACCCGGGAGGCGGAGGTTGCAGTGAGCCGAGATCGTGCCACTGCGCTCCAGCTTGGGCGACAGAGTGAGACTCCGTCTCAAAAAAATAAAATAAAAAATAAAGAGAAAGGGACTTGAATAGACACTTCTCCAAAGAAGATATACAAATGGCCAACAAGCACAAACATGTAAAGAAGCTCAATGTCATTCATCATTAGTGAAATGCAAACCAAAATCACAATGAGATACCACTTCACACCCGCTAGGATGGCCTTAATCCAAAAAAAAAAAGAAAACCACAAAAAATAGTGTTGGCAGGGAAGCAGAGAAACTGGAACCCTGGAATCCTGCCCACTGGTGATGGGAATGTAAAAATGATATGGCACTGTGGAAAACTTTGGTAGTTTCTCAGTAAGTTACACATAGTTGTACCATATGACCCTGTAATTCCAGTCCTAGGTGTATAATCAAAAGAACTAGAAACAAGTGTTCAAACAAGTACTTGTATATAAATGTTCCTAGCAGCACTATTCACAAAAGTCAAAAGGCAAAACCAACCCAAATGTCCATCAACAGATAAATGAGTAAACAAAATGTTATATATTCATACAATGAAATCTTTTTCAGCCATAAAAATAAAGTACTGATATATACCAAATGAAATAACCCAGACACAAAGGCCACAAATGGTATGATTCCATTTATATGAAATATCCGGGATATGCAAATCCATAGACAGAGAAAGCAGATTTGTGACTACCAGGGGCTGGAGAGCAGGGGAGTCAGGACTGATGGCTAAATGGGGTGCATTTATAGTGATGAAAAAGTTCTACAACTAGACAGTGGTGATGACTCTAGAAAATTGTGAATGTATTTAATACCGCTGAATTGCGACGTTAAAATGCTACACTTTCTGCTATTTGTGTCTTACCATAATTTACAAAAAGCTTTTTTTAAAAAAAAGAAAGAAAATAAATCAAAGCAAAATCTTGACGTTTTCCCAAAGGCTCTCAAGCCAGTGCAGACCTACCAATCAGGCGCAGTGCCGTCTGAGCGAGGGCCAGCGTGCCGGAATTGAGCAGGAGGTCAAGGTTGTTTGCGCTGTGCTGCAGGGTGAGCATGCTGAGCATCACCAGGAGGAAGTGGGCTTGCGGGATGGTCCCCAGGCTCGGTCCCGATGGGTTCTCATTGGTGATGGTTTGCAGGGGAACCGGCTGGATACCTAATGAGCATTGGCACCCACTGACATTTCTTGTAATGGATACAAGAATAAATGTAATGCAGAAAGCACGGGCAATTACTCTAAACATCTGACTAATAAGCACTGACACCCACTGACATTTCTTGTGCGTGGATACAAGAATAAACGTAACGCAGAAAGCATGGGCAATTACTCTAATCATCTGACTATTTTGACACCCACTGACATTTCTCTCGCATGGATACAAGCATAAACGTAATGCAGAAGGCACGGGCGATTACTCTAAACATCTGACTATTTTTCAGTGGTTTCCACAGAGTGGGCAGCTCTGTCATGCTGCACGATGGGCCTACCCCCTGCATTCTATGCACAGGTCGTTCCATCTGTCTACAGGACTTAGTATGCTGCTCTCTGAATACACCGGTGCCCTATTCCATTCCTTCCATTTCAAATATAAAAGTTATGTCTCACTTTTCCTCCACAAAACCAATCCAATCAACTCTCTGTAGATGCTCAAACTATCCAGGAAATAAATATCAATATAGGACACAGACACTTTAGGATATGTGGTGATACACATAAAAATGTCAAAATGTAAAAATGTTATACTAGAGTACTTCAACATTGTGTCTCCTGCTAAATTTTAAAGTTTTGTTTAAAATCTGAGAAAGCTGACAGCAGCATAGATTATACAAGTACAAAGTACAAACTTATTAAAGTCTTCTCAAAAGCAAAAATTGGCATTTGCAAGTTTCCACAACATATAATTAAAGGCAAACTATAAAATAACATTGATACAATTATTGACTCACCAAGCTCTTTAAATTTGGCACTGGCATCCACCAAAACATTTCGAATGTTCTGAACAGCCCAAGCGTACAGCTTGCCAAAGGTGACTTCCAGCAGCATCCGATTAAAAGGCGGGATCAAATCAACATCCTTTAAACAATCAGTAAGAGGTTCCCTTTCAAATAAAGATAAAGAATTTGACTCGGGACACTGCCAGACTTCTAACTGTTACAGAAAAACATTCTGTTGCCACAGCTTCCTTAATTAAGAAAAAAATATGCTAACGTTTTACCCTATATCGATTCCCTCAGGAATAAGTCTTTGCCATCCACAAAACATCGCATACGGCACAGATGGAAGTAAGAAATTCTTGCTCACCAGATACAATTTTAAAATTGTATCTATCCCTTCCAGGCGAACCTCTGCTCTCTCCAACTGCAAAATATCAATGCATACAGTTAAGTGTTATGTATATTACCCAATGCAGAGAAGCATTTCTCATCAAATGTTACCTGTTTTAGTAGGCACTTTCTCTTTTCCACATCCACTGGCTCTTCTTTAAGGGCAAATTCAGCAATTGTACTGAGGAGTGGAGACTGCGGATAAAGACCCTGCACATTCTGCTTCAACCACTTGTATTTGTGAACATCTGTAACAGTACTCAACAGCGGCTGCCATTTGTCCTAACAAAGGAAAACAATTTTCATCATTAGTCTACCCTATTTAATAATAAACTGTGCTCTAAAAGTTATTCAAGTAAAATATAAATAATGCTTATGGGTTTAAATTGGTTAAAATACGTTAAATTTAGTAATACATGTTTTTAAAACTATGCTATAAATATAAGTGAATTTATAATCTCTATACTATATGTTGGAACAGGCTAGCTTGGCATACTAAGTTAAGTTATGGTTCATATTAACAGCCACAGGGCCCAGCACTGTTTCTGGAACAAAGAATATATTTAAGGAATGAATGGTGAATAATTAATGATACAATCTAATACCAAAAATAAAAGGAAACCCTTCTCCAGCTACAGCTCTGACCAGGACATCATAAGTCAAGTTCATGAAGCATCACTGGGGCCGTATTTCTAACAACCGCCCGTCCCTCCCTCCAGATGCTCAGGTACAGAGGTACAAGACTGTGGATTCCTGTGCTACATGCTACGATTCTATTCAGCCAACCTCAGAATCACAGAAAATACCGCACCTTGGGTGATTTAATTGCAATGGGTCTCTTGTCCACATTTATTGGACTATGAGGCAAAATGCAAGCTTCTTCTAAATCACTCTCTTCGTTTCCAATTTTTTCTTCATCATCCGTAGATTCTGGCTTCTTAGGAACTGTGTTTTAAAACATCATTCACTATAAAAATCATACACTTAAATATTAATTTTAAATTAAGACATATTTAGATTTACATGAAGGACAAATATTTCATTCAAATAAACATCTGAACAACATTATAAATTGCAATGCTCAACAACAAGAGTGAAATGATCACCCTGGCAGAACAAAAAGACAAAGTGAGAGTGCGACGAGGGGAGAAGCCCCGAAGCAGGGGAAGCCCGGCAGCCAGCAAGCTCTTCCTCAAGTGCCAGAGAGTGAACATTTGAGTCTTTCAGGCCATGCTGTCTGTCGCAAATACTCAACTCTGCTGCTGTAGCACAAAAAGTAACCACAGATAAAGCAACAGGTGTGGCTGTGCTCCTGTAAAACTTTATTTATGGTGCTACAATTTTAGCTTCATGTAATTTTCATGTGCCAAAATAATATACTTCTTTTAATTTTTAAATAACAATTTCAAACTGGAAAAAAAAAAAAAGGTCTTAGTCCATGGGCAACCCAAAGCCAGCAAGAGGTAGAATTTGGCCCATAGTTCCTGGCTTGTCCACCCTGGTCCAGTTCAGTGGTTCTGTTACTGTGTAACTGAATCAACTGAATTCACTGTGATATGTGGAATTTCCTCCCTATACTTTATCTCTTTTAAAATTTTTGGTCTAAATCTCCTCAGCATATAATATAAAAAATAAGCAACATGATAATACATCTGGGCAGTAAAGAGCTAACATAGCAGGCCGGGGTTGCTCAAACCCTGCAAATTCCCAAGGAAGGTCTGTCCCTTCAGGATTGGTCCTTCTTCTAGGAGCTGAGCTCTGAGCCCTTGGAACATCCTGCCTGAGAAGTTTTTTGGTATACCTGACACCCAGGACCTTGTGGCAGTGGTCTGGCCAGGTAGTTTATGCTAATGATGGGACTTGCGAGGGACCACTTGTTTTTGCACTGGGGCACTGGAGCCTGAGTGAGGTCAGTCACAGGGGCACTGCCTGCGTATGTGACTGGCCCCCAACAAAATCTCTAGACTCGAGGCTCAGGTGCGCTGGCCTGGTTAACAATTCTTCACACATGATGTGACACTGTTGCTGGGAGAGCTAAGCACATCCACGTGACGCCACTGGGGAGAGACACCAAAGCGTGTGCCTAGTTTCCTCTGGACTTCCCTCCATGCACCCTTCCCTCTGCTAATTTTAATCTGTATCCTTTTTGCAGTAAAAACACAGCTGTGACTATAACAGCTCTTCTGAGTCCTTTTAGTGAATCAAGCCTGAGAGAAGGCTCGGGGATCCCTGACACAGCAACAGGAATATTAATCACTTAATCTTTTCAAGTTACTTACTTTCCAAAAAAAAAAGAAAACCAGCTTGAAACACCACACGATAAATCTATAAACCCACAAGAAACTCTAAAAGTGACAGTGTGGGCTCAGAACCCACGGATATGAGATGGCAAATGTGGAGTCTCTCTCCCTCATTCCGAGGCAGCCTGTCTCCTGGGCCCAGGCTGAGTTCCTGCATGCCTGGGTTAAAGGAATCGCAGCAGTGTGACTGCTGTGACTTCCTGATCCAGAGCACCCCTCGCATTCAGACAGGCTGTTATGGTGTAGGGTTTGTTCAGGAACAATCAAATTAGGATGGCTTCTAACACACTTTAGTCTTTCATAAGCTTATTGTTCAAAATGCCCATCAGAAAGTCAGTAATCAATACTGTTCAATAAGCAGGTTTGTGAGTAAATCAGTATAAGTCATAATATGATCAGAGGCCAGGCGCGGTGGCTCACGCCCGTAATCCCAGCACTTTGGGAGGCCGAGGCAGGCAGATCACGAGGTCAGGAGATCAAGACCATCTTGGCCAACATGGTGAAACTCCGTCTCTACTAAAATATAAAAATTAGCCAGGAGTGGTGGCGCGTGCCTGTAATCCCAGCTACTTGGAAGGCTGAGGCAGGG
This sequence comes from Homo sapiens, assembly GCF_000001405.40. NCBI lineage: Eukaryota > Metazoa > Chordata > Mammalia > Primates > Hominidae > Homo > Homo sapiens. The sequence continues at coordinate 22,543,822 of NC_000015.10, read as the reverse complement.
GAATCGTTTGAACCTGGGAGGCGGAGGTTGCAGTGAGCTGAGATCGCACCACTGCACTCCAGCCTGGCAACAGACCAAGACTCCATCTCAAAGAAAAAAAAAAAAGGATATAATCAGAAATTTCTGTAGTTTATTTATAATCACAAGTGACTAAATTCTAAACTATTTTATAATTTCTAAGCATTTTTATTCAAATTTGGATTTAATGCAAAAAGACTTTTCTGTACCCTTACACAGCTACTTCCAGGAAAATGTCAGTAACTCTTTTAGCTTCCCTTTATAGTTCTTCATGTATCAGAATACTCAATATTTCCAAACAAAAAACATTTCTTTAGAAGAATGGCAATAAGTTTAAATGTTCCCATTATATCTCATTACCAGGATAACTAATAAAAGTACTTCCTTGTTCCCATCAATTTAGCAAAGATTATTTACGTTTTCAACATCAATTTACTAGTAATCAAATCATACCACACTCAATTCCTAAACTGCCTCATTGTCTGATCATTTGGAAAAATAAGCGAGATGTCTGTATTTAATCCTAACTATAATAAAAATGATGGCAGCAGGTAGAAATGTTACATGGAATCAACAGTAGAGAAACTTCACTCTGAAATCACAGATCCAACGTGGCAGGGTGAAGCACAAGCTTTAATAGTATCTTCTGTCCTTTTACATTCTTACCTCTCTTTTTCCTTGGTTCTCGAATTATCTTCTGAGCTATCCTCCTCCAATGGGGCAAAGAACTTAACAATTTAAACTTAGACATTATAGAGAGGTCATTACAAACAGCAGGTCTCAATTCATTAAAGAGGAATCTCAAACGTTTGATGACAGGAGCGCAGACCTCCTTGTAAGAACGGCCCTGTTCTTGATGAGTCTGCAAAGTTAACCAGGAAAAGACAACTTTAACAACAAATATTTCAGCAACTGTCTGCAAAGCACAGAATAAAAAGAATTAAAATCTATCACCTTAATGAGCGAACATTTTGCTTGGTAGACAACTCTACAAACATCCACCACTGACTTAGGCAACGTTCTGTGCTTTACTTGCTCAATATCAAGTGCACCTGCATGAACTAAAGATAATGCCACATGACCTGTAAAAAGACATTTAAAAGAAGGGCAGTGAAGGAATGAATACGTACCACAGGTTAGTCGAGGAATCTGCAGTGTAGCTAAAGTACAAAGATATTGAGCTCCTTACCTAAATCTTCATGTTTTAAGAGGCAACATAACAGCAAGCGACCGACCTCTTCCACGGGATGCTCGGGGGGAAACATGATCGGTGTGGTCAAATGGCACTGCCTACAGTACCTTTCTATTTGACACAAAAAGTCCTGCAACAGGAACAGCTGGAAGTAACTTCAGGGAAACCCAGTGAGTCTTCACAAATCTTAAACATGCCACAGCTTCTGACGCACTTGCAATCACTAATGCTTCTGAAGCCTCGCTAGCATGTTAACACAATCAGGTTCTCACCTCAAAACCCTCCAAATAATACATGAAACAAAGTCTGTGCTGTGTTAACCAAAGAGCACATAAGTATTCCTATGTCAAAGTCCTCAGATAAACAGAGCACTGAGGTGGCAGTGGGGGCAGGCCTAGCTCACCTTCACGTTGTGATCCTGAATGTTGTTGTCTGCAATGGCTTGCAGAAATGCCTGGGAATGGTCCCCCAGGGCCCGTCTGTGGGAGCAGAGTCGAGATTTGCTGGCAGGTGTGCCCCCTGGGGAGCTGCAGTGGTCCTCGTCTTTCTCCTCGTTGTAGCTGTAGTGGATCTGGCTGGTCTGCAGGCCTCCAGAGAAGATGGATGACTGAAGCCATTCTAGAAAATGCACACACAAACATGAAAGAGAAACTCAAGTGCACAACTCAAAATAAATACTAAAAAAAAAAAAAGATGCTCAACTGAACACTCAATTTAGAAGGTGAAATTCAGCATCATTCATATGAAAGAGCTCCACCTAACATGTTTACACAGGTTGACTTATAATTCCTCTATCTACGTGAACACACTTTCTGGTGATTCCACACGCCTCAGGCATGGCATCAGAACTCAGGATCGTAGTTCCAGTCCAACATTCTCTGGATACCTGTGCTCTGCCTGCAGCTGCCTGGTTCCACAGGTACCGTGTGAAGACTGAGGTGCACATTCTAACAGGGAAGGCAGCAAAGGGCACCGCTGACACAATTAATCACAGGATTTCAAGTCCGAAACTGTGCAACAGATGACTATGGGGGTACCAGGGAGACTGGAAGACAGACCACCGCTATTCTGAGGGTCAGTGAGGGACTTGTGGAAGCAACAACTGAGCTAAGATGAGGAATAAGACCCAGACGCTGAGTATCCAGGCAGGGAATAGCACATCTGAAGGGTTTCTACAAAGAATTACATCCTCAGGGTAGGCTATGTATTCCTAGAGCACTTATAAAGGAATGAAAAGGAGAAAATATTTAAGAAACACACAATCTGTAATGAAGGATAGATCCTTGGAGATGGGAGGGCCGATGGACTGGAAAGGAGACCTGTGCGTGGTGCAAGGCATGGGATCAACCAGTGCGAATGTTAATTACAACTGCTTATGGCAACTTGAGGGAGTGCACCACTACAGATCTCTATTAACGATCTGTGTTATCAAATACTGCTCCAAATCCAAGCAATCAAAGCGGGATGCACTTAGTGTTCTTTTACTGGACATTTAGATTTTAGAGCACTCAGGAGCATTCCCCAACACACCACATTCGTTCTTCTGAAACACTAATCCAATGCCGACTCTCTCTGGCCCCCTCTCTTTAAGCACAGGACAGCCCCTCCTTACTGCTCCAAGATAAGCCTCTGATCCTCCTGTGGATCGGACCCACCTGCCAGGGCCCATGGCACCCTCTGCCCTGGAGCTCGCCAGCCCTGCCCTCCTTGCCAATTTAAACAAAGCCCATCTTCTGGCAAGCAATGAGCCTTGAGGAGGAGGGAAGGAAGCAGACACCTCAGAGGGCACCACAGGCAGCCCAGCACCTAGCACTGCACAAAGGTCCGCCCAACGGGGGGCTGTATGGACACCAAGATCCTCCTTCCCTGCAAGCCTCTGCCACACCCACTCCTGCAAGCAGCAGGAAAGCCCTGCTCCTCTCAGCAGTGCCCTTGACACTCCTGTGTTTTCTGCCCAGAATGCTCTCTCACGCAATTTCAGGACTGCTGCCAATGTGAAGCCTTTCTTCTCCCAGAACCATGTATGAACATCTCCATTTCACCATTCACCACCTTGTAATGTGACCTGCTTAGAATGGTGGCTCATCAACAAGCAGCAGCTGAAAGCAGAGGCGTGTCCTACCCATCACTGCATCCTGAACACCTCGCATGGTAACGGCACCAGAAAGCAGAGGTGTGTCCTATCTATCACTGTATCCTGAACACCTCGTATGGTAACGGCACCAGGCAAATGCTCAACAGAAGCTGCTCACATGGATGGACAGACAGACAGATGGGAAATGCACAACTACATGAAGGAAAATGGAAACACATCTTAGGAGACAGAAAGAAGCTTATTATTTTAGGTGGTTACAAAGGCTGCCATCCTGAAATATAACTGACTTGAGCCTGGTCTGGTAAAAACGCAGTGCTCAAATAGTATGCTCTTCCCTGAGAGGACAGCTGATCCACATTCTGTGCAATTTCTGGGCATGCAGGGAGACAAAAGCCATGCTGGGCCCATCAGGCAGAGGCTGCAATACGTGAGACCACCAAGGGCAGACGGGTAGACATTCCTGCACACTTTTTAGCTTCCTCTGCAGCAACAGACCATGAGGGCAAATGACAACCACTCACAGCTGTTTCTACCTGATTGAGTCTCACTATCCTTATTATTTTTTTTTTTGTCATCATCAACTGTGTTGAATCCTCCTCTCCTTTTTTTTTTTTGAGACCGAGTCTCGCTCTTGTCACCCAGGCTGGAGTGCAGTGGCGTGATCTCAGCTCACTGCAACCTCCGTCTCCTGGGTTCAAGCAATTCTCCTACCTCAGCCTCCCGAGTACCTAGGATTACAGGCACCCGTCACCACACCCAGCTAATTTTTGCATTTTTAGTAGACATGGGGTTTCACCACATTGGCCAGGCTGGTCTTGAACTCCTGACCTCAGGTGATCCACCCGCCTCAGCCTCCCAAAGTGCTGGGATTACAGGCATGAGCCACTGCCTGGCCATCTCCTGCTTTTTTAAAGAGAGAGTCTTGCTCTGTCACCCAGGCTGGAGTGCAGTGGTATGATCATGACTCACTGCAGCCTCAACCTCCCAGGCTCAAGCAATCCTCCTACCTCAGCCTCCTGAGTATCTGGGACTACAAATACGTGCCAACATGCCTGGCTAATTTTTGTGTTTTTTGTAGAGATGGGGTTTTGCCATGTTGCCCAGGCTGGTCTCAAAATCTTGATCTCAAGCAATCCACGTGCCACAACCTCCCAAAGTGCTGGGATTACAGGCATGAACCACTGTGCCTGGCCCTCTCCCACTCTTAATGGCACTTACAGTTCAAAAAAAAAAAAATCTGCTGATTAGCAAAAAGTAAAGATTTTCTTACTGGCACATTCAATCTCGACAGGAGACAGCGGTGTGCTCATTGCTAAATAGGAAGCGTGTAATCCGAGAAGCAGGCCCAGATTCCTCTCTGTGTCTATCAGAGGTGAGGAGAGACTCCCCAGATCTGGTATGGTGACGCCTTCTTGGTCAGGCTGGAAAAATAAATTTAATCATCAATCTGAGGAAACAGAATTAATTAAAAACATAAAACCAAAAGGACAGCTCTCTCCTGCAGCTGTACCGCACGTGAGCCCAGGGGTGCTCTGGGCGTTCTGCCCCTCCATCCTGTAATGAGTTGGTGCTGCTGTGCCCAAGTAACAGCAGATACCATATAAACCCACATGCCCTATAAAGCAGGCAGCAACCGCACAGCCCTACTGTAGAAAAACTAAACCACAGATACATGATTTGGCTAGAATATTCCTTAGGAATCAGTTTCCAAAGTGACTGTACACCATGCTTCAGAAAGTATAATGAATTGTTACATGCATAAAGAACCCACTGGGCAACAAAACTATGACAAGTATTCGATGACAAGTATTAGTGGACTGTGACCACACATGTAGAGGAAATGAAATTTATTCTAACAAAAATCAAACTCTGAAAAAAGCAAGAGTTCAACTTTTTCAGTCACAGAAGATATTTACAGCAAAGTTAATTCTCCCCTTCATAAACTGTTTTAAGCCCTGCCCTAATGGCATTTAATACATCTTATTACTTGTCGATACCTAGTAAGCTAATCCCAATATATAAATTCTATGTGTTCGTGAATACATAGGAAGGACATATTTCTATTGTAAAGAATTACACTTCTACATAGTTCTTCCCAAAAAATACATACCTCAAGATTATAAGCCATTCCAAATTTCTACATAAGACCAAAGTTTAACCTCTTTTCTTGTGGAACACTGCCTATATTTCTCACAAATTGATCATTTAAAAAACAATCTTTCAAGACCAGTACATCACAGATCTTAACATGAATAAATGTAAATTCATTTATGACAAAACTTCTAAAGGATCTTTATATTTATCCCTAATGCCCCGCAAAAGACCCAGATATCAGTACTTCTAGATCCAAATATTCCTATCACAAACACACAGAGGGTATCCCCTGCCATCCTCTGCATCACTCAAGGCATACAGCCTCACCTCCAAATACTGGCCAACACAAAATGCGTGCATGGATTCCCGGGTGTCTTCAAACTGCAAAGCAGCTTCCAAAGCTACCACTGGGTCTTCCCCTGCAAACTGAGCTGAAACAAAAAGGGAAAAAGCAACATGAGTTCAATTCAGCTTGCCTGAAGAGCTACAGGAGAAATAGTGAGTAGGAAATAAGTTAGGCTCTTAACTCAAAAGTGAGGGTTACCAGAATATAATGACCTCCCACTGTCTCCCAGGGTTGCCTGGGCCAACTCGGAACTTGAAATGAGTTCCAAGTATTAAAACAAAAGATACATAATGAAAGGAAATTCTTCGAATGTGCTGAATTTGTTGATAAGACAGACACCAAAGCCACAGATACATTAAAATATGCGGGGGCTGGCACAAAACTAAAGGAATCATTTATAAGCCAAATACTCTGCTTAAAATGATACAGGCTGTAACTTTTAACCAGGAAATAACAAGTGTAATCTTACCAAGAATACTATTTTCTGTTAACGACTGTGTCTGGAAGTCCTTTATATCATACACTTTCCCGTCAATCACAGTCCAGAAGCCTCCATCGTTATTATGGTTCTCCAAATCAGCTATGCGTACAAATGTCACTTTCTCATTATTTCTACAGTTCTGACCTGTAAAAAATGACTCTGTATATACAGAAACCAGAATCAGTCCATTGATCAATCAACAGGTAAAATGAAAAGAACAAACTGTGTGAAAGAACTACAAGCAGAAATAAACAAATCCACAATCACAATGGGAGAAATACATACCTAGCTCTGAAACTAATACCACACATACAAATTCTGTTAAATATAGAATGCTTTAAAAAAAAGTCTAGGCAGCATGAATACCAAATCGGGCCATGCCAGGCCATAGAGTAAATCTCAACAGATTTCAAAGAAATAAACTTACAGAGCATGTGTGCTGACTACAATGCAGTTAAATTACAAATAGGTTTTCAAAAATTCATTCAAAATAAAATAAAAATGACTCTGTATACACAGAAAATAAAAATATTCATCCACATATTTGAAAATTACAAGATACACTTATAAGTAACCCAAAATTCTAAGAAAAAATGACTATGAAAATTAGAAAATGTGTTCAGTTAATAATCAAAATACTGCAGATCGAAATTGGTGACATACAACTAAATGCATGCTTGAGGGCATTTATGCCTTTAAATGTATATATTTACACATTAAAGGGGGAAAAAGCTAAAAAAGAAAAGAAACACCAAATCAATAAAAGTCTGTTAGTTCATAAAAATACTCAAAAAAAAGAAAACCTGAGTGGTGGTCACCTATGCAAGTGCTAGGATACCAACTCAATATTATGAAAAATAGTTAAAGGGAGGTGGCAGTTCAAGAAGTCAAGCTTAGATTATGTCCTTGCTGTACAAATTGTACCTCCTGCTAACCAGACAGCAGAGGGCAAGGTTGGTAGGGGATTTTATAGAGGATACGCAACACATGAATTCCCTGGTCTAGCTTCACAGAACTAAAGCGGGGAGCCACCGAGCATTACAGGCCTCCTGAGCCAACAGAAAGCATGCAGCATGACCCCAGACATAACACCGCCCCAACGAGACTGAATTCAAATCCAACCAAACCTCTAGATCTAACCAGCAGATTAATGTAACTAACAGAAGAACATGTTGGTCTAGAATAAGAGAATGCAATCAACCAAGTTCAGAAAATGTGAAGTTCTCCAAAATAACCAACCTGCTTCTTTGAAAAAGAAAACGGTATGATCAGAGACAGGGAGAAGAGGGCCTGGAGCCATGTTGTTTGGGGAAAGAGACTAGAAGCATATGTCAAGCAATGCCAATACGCAGAACATGCTCAGGTCTTAATTCAAAATTACCACCTAAAAAAGGCATTTTTGAGATAGTCCAGGAAAATGTAACATGGACTGCATGTTAGATTAAGGAATCACTGTTAATCTTATAGACAGGATAATGATATTGTAGGGTTTTTTTAAAATCCTTATCATTAAGAGGTAAAATACCTTAAAATGTTTTAAAGACAGAGTTATGCTTTAAAATAATCCAATCAGCCGGGCGCGGTGGCTCATGCCTATAATCCCAGCACTTTGGGAGGCCGAGGCGGGCAGATCATGAAGTCAGGAGATCGAGACCATCCTGGCTAACACAGTGAAACCCCATCTCGTACCATGCCATATTACTGCATTTAACAGGTATGATGAAGCAACTGAACAGGCTATTTTTCCATTTCCATTGCATTTCAACAGAGCCCATTAAAAAGTAGTATAAATGGCCCTTAAATACTAATATATTTTAAAATGCTCAAACTATATCGGGGTCACCACTTTGTGCTTTAGCAGGCAAAATCCCAAAAGCCCACACACAAGGCTGGGAGACCAGCATCCCTATTGGTGGTGAGAGAAATCAAGATGTACAGGAGCAATCTGGTGACAACCAGCCCACACGAGGTCCATCCCCACCTGTGCATGTGCACAGGCACACACGCGTGCACACATGGAGGACACGTGTTCCAGGCCAGGCCTTGCAGTACTATTTGTGTTTTCTGTTGTTGTTGTTTGAGATGGAGTTTCACTCTTGTTGCCCAGCCTGGAGTGCAGTGGCGCGATCTCGGCTCACTGCAACCTCTGCCTCCCAGGTTCAAGCGATTCTCCTGCCTCAGCCTCCCAAGTAGCTGGGATTACAGGCACCCGTCACCACGCCCCGCTAATTTTTGTATTTTTTAGTAGAGACGGGGTTTCTCCAAGTTGGCCAGGCTGATCTCAAACTCCCAACCTCAGGTGATCCACCCACCTCGACCTCCCAAAGTGCTGGGATTACAGGCGTGAGCCACTACACCCGACCCTCAGCACTATTTGTATAGCAACATTGTGGCAATAAGCCCAAGTGTCCACCAATAAGAGACTCACTAAAGAAAGATAGATAAAAGACACATCCACACACTGAAGACTAAGCTGATTTATAAAAACAAAGAGGGACACTCTGATAAGGTACTCCAGTATATATGGTTAGTTAAAAAAAAAAACAAAAAACAAGCAACACAAGTAATGAAGCATGCTACCACGAACGTACTCATGCCAGAGAACAAGGAGGTTACAGAGGAGACTGGAAAGTCAGAGGGAGCAGGTGGGAAAATGGGTGGAAGGGGTGGGCAGGGGAAGCGACAGTGTGTCTCTGCCTAGGTTTGATTTTTGAACCATGTGACTGTATTTTTTTTTTTTAATGACTGTAAAACAAAATAAATACTCTTTATACTAGAAATAAAATGTTAGAAAAATCTGGATTCAAAACTAGGATTACTGTTCTGCACTGGCAAAGTTCACTACCATTCCCAAAGGCAGTTTTCTCATTGACATAATGAGATACAACAGCGTGCATGAGGTCCTCAGCGGGCCTGCACCCTACAGGTGCTCCACACATGCAAATCACTACCATTACTATTACATAAGAGATATAATACATAATTATACTGTCACTACTATAACCAGCATGACATACTAAGACAGCCTGCGTTCAGAGTATGAAGAAGGCTGTGGAACCCCCTGCAGAAGGTGGGAGGGCCTGGGGCTGTGGATAAAGGGGAGCTCTCTGGGGCTGTGCCACCTGAACCTGGAACCCGGGCCCCCAGGTTGGGTCGCCAGGCCTGTGCGCCTCAGCTTGCTCATCACTCACTCTCAACACGGATAACACCTTCAACTGCAAACACGTTTAAAAACCACAGGCCAGCTCCCCCTACCAATACCAGAAAAAACAAGTCTCCACACGGGCCCAGGATGAGAACCTACAAGTGGTACTAGCTACAAAACACATGGAGAACACGGTTCTTGCACACACCTTATGAGACGTCGGAGAGCTACACAGAGGAGGCATCTACAGGGTGTAGCCAGACGGTCTAAATGGGCCATGACAACAACCGCCGTTTGTTGCAGATCAATGGCAAGCCTGTTGTCTTGTGGAAGGGTGAGGTACCTCAGGAAACTCTCACTGGGGCTCAGAGGACCAGACAAAAGCTAGAAAGGAAAAGTAAACAAAAATTCAGAAATGGTGGGAAAAACTAAAGTAACACAGTTTTTTACCCAAGCTTTATATTTTGGTATTGACTCATTTGACCCATCAAATGACAATGTTGATGATACAGTTATACTATACGTCTATATATTTATGCAGCATATAAACTGTATAAATCTCTAAATCTGCTGTATACATGTACACAACATTGACTGTGCATGTATACATTTATGATACCATAGGTAAGTTGAATCCACACAGATTACTAACATGACCAAACCACTCTACAAGCCTAGGACCCCTGGAGAAAGGCAGAACCACCTCTGTGGGAACCCAGCACAGCATCTCAAGCTGGCCTTGAAATCTAAAACCAAAACCTTTATTTTAATCTAAATGTTGCCCACTCTGGAGAACACCTACTTTCATTTGCAAATTAAATCACAGTTCTAATTCTTCTAAAGGCAGAAGACCCCTATTATCATTAGTTTAAAGACTGCCAAATAATAGGCTGGGCATGGTGGCTCACACCTGTAATCCCAGCACTTTGGGAGGCCGAGGCAGGCAGATCACAAGGTTAGGACTTTGAGACCACCCTGGCCAACATGGTGAAACCTCATCTCTATTAAAAATATAAAACTGAGCTGGGCATGGTGGCGGGTACCTATAATCCCAGCTACTCGAGAGGCTCAGACAGGAGAATCATTCGAACTAGGGAGGCGGCAGTTGCAGTGAGCCGAGAACGTGCACTGCACTCCAGCCTGGGAAACAGGCAGAGACTCCGAAGACGGGAAGGGACGGGATGGGACGGGATAGGACAGGACGGGATGGGATAGGACAGGACGGGAAGGGAGAAAGAAAGCAATGTACCCGCAAAACAAACAAACAAACAAAAAAACAGTCTCGGGGACCTATGGGACTATAACAACTCCGGTCACTGAACTCACGAAGGGACAGGAGAAAGAAGGTGGGGCTGAAACTGTACTCCATGAAGTGATGGCTTACAAGTTCCCAAATTTGGCAAGAGACATAAATCTACAGATCTAACGTAAGCAAACCCTAAACAGGATGAACCCAAAGAAATCCAAACTAAGACATATAATAATCAAACTCCAAAAAACAAAAGACAAAACATTTCAAAAGCCACTAAACAAAAACAGTGCCTTAACTATCGTGGATTAACAAGTCAAATGACAGCGAATTTCTCATCAGAAACCATGGAGCCCAGCTGAAAGTACAAAATATTTTTCAAGCGATGAAAAGAACCATTAACCCAGAATTCTTATATCCAGCAAAAATGTCCTTCAGGAATGAAAAGGAAAGCAAAACATTCTCAGAGGAAGTGAAACAGAATTTGTCACCAGAAGACCCACACCAAAAGAAAGGCTAATGGAAGTTCTCTAAGCAGAATGGCAACCATCAAAGAAGAAAACCCTGGAACTTCTGGAAGGAGGAGATGACAAGCACACCAACGCATAAATACAATAGACTTTTCCCTCACCTCTTGACTTTGCTAAATTACGTCTGAAGGTTCAACCAAAAATTATAACATTGTCATATGTGGTTATCAATGTAAGTAAATGAAATATTTAAGGCAAGTATATTATGAACAGAAGAACATAAAGGAACATCAAGGGAGGTAGTTTCTATATCCCTGAAGCTGGTAAATGACAACATCAGGTAAAATCTGATAAGTGTTCATACATACACAGGCTGAGTGTCCCTTATAAAATGCTCAGGAGCACAAGTGTTCCAAATTTCAGATTTTTATCAGATTTAGGAATATCTGCATATAAATAATGAGATATTTTGGGGATAGGACCCAAGTCTAAATACATTCATTTATGTTTTATATATAACTTATACACAGAGCCTGAAGGTAATTTTATATAGCATGCTTAGTAATTTTGTGCATGAAACAAAGTTCATGCTAAGTACTTATGAATGGAATTTTCAATTTGGGGGCGTCATGCTGGAGTGCCATAAAGTTTCGAATTTTGGGGCATTTCAGATTTTGGATTTTGGGTTTACAGATGCTCAATCTGTATGCAATATATTACCTAGAAAAGCCACTAAAAAAGCTATACAAAAAGATACACTCTAA